>NC_000017.11:6854747-7006262 GCF_000001405.40 Homo sapiens
GGCTGGTCTCAAGTAATCCTCCTGCCTTAGCCTCCCAAAGTTCTGGGATTACAGGAATGAGCCACCACACCTGGCCTCACCTCAGAACGTTTTGAAAATTTTAGTTTTGTCTGTTTGCTTGTTCAATCATTCTGCATGACTGGATATGGTGAGGATCATGTAATTTGGGGGACAGAGGAAGAACTCTTGGATTTTTTTGGATGACTTTACTGGTGCGATGAGTTCCCTGGTCACTTGACAGGGCAAGTAGAATTCCTCAGGAGGGGAAAATTTGTTCTAAGAGAACAAACAGTTGCAGCTGTGGGCTTCTTACGTGGAAAAGCTTCTAGTCAATAAGTGAACATAAAAACAATGGCCAGGGCATATTAATAACACTGACTTAGGAAGTTGAATAAAATATCTTTGCCAATAGAGAAAGAGTCCTGCTAGAGGTGGCTCTCTTCCTCGTTCTACCTTTATAACTTTTCCAGGATTCTGTTGTTGGCAGATATTCCAAGTAAGGAGTGAAGTTTCCCCACAAATGATGATGAAGGCATTGAGTCAGTATTTTCCCATGATGAAAAATTTTGTGAAGACTGAACTTCAGGTCAGGGACGAAGGAGAGCCCAAGTAGCCTTCTCAGTGTCTTCAAAGCCTATCTTTGGACTTTTTGGTGGGTAAAACATCCACCTTGTTTTCAATTAGCCTTTTCATCTTCAGGGGCCTTTAACTGAGATATTTTAATGTCCTCAAATAGAGGATAAATTGGCAAACTGAGTAGGTTTAATATCTGGTCTGATTACAGTGGGACTGGGACAGATTTATAAACTGCTACTTAGCATACTTATCAGCTGAGCTTCCCCTTGCCTTAGGGGTCTATTGCCCATATAAGCTTCTATCTTGAGTATGGCCAGCTCTTGTAATAATAAGGCCTCTAGGAGGTTACCCACATTTCCCATTTTAAACTAGTAGTCACAAATTCCCTGGCTTTCCACAACAGGTCAAAGTCATGTAATACCCTAAAAACATATCTGTTATCTGTGTTGATGTTAACTCTTTGATTCTTAGCTAAAGTGTAGGTTCTTGTGAGAGCCACAAATTATTCTATCTGATATAATTTGCACTGGGTAAAGCCTCATATGTTATGGGACTGTGGATATATGCAATGGCATATTCAGCCTGGAAACCTCTTTCTGAAGTCAGAGGTATGAACTATCAACAAAGAAAATGAGATCTGGATCTATAAGAGGTACTTCAGAAAGATCAGGACGGGGAAAGGTTAGAGCTTAGGTGGCTGAAATACAGTCATGGTGGTTGTACTTCAGTTGGGAGAGAAATGGTAACAAGGTTAAGATTTTGGTAATGGTGAATAGTAATGTGAGAAGGAGCAAACAAAAGGATCTCATAAGAGGTAAGGTTAGAGGTTGAAAAACGTTGGGGGTTCGCAGTCAGGACAAAGATGTGAACCACTTGGGCACAGAAGTGTGCGAAGTATGACCTAGCACAAAATCAACTGTGGCTTGAATCAAATTTGCTGTTGCCATGACAACTCAGAAGCAAGGAAGGAAGGCTTGAGCTATAGGGCCTAGCAAGAAGGTAAAATATCCAATGGGCCTCAGGCTCCTTTTGTATTTCTGAGACAGGACATCTAAAGTATGTTCTCTCTCATGAATGAATAGGCAGAAGGGCAAGGAGTAGTTGGGGAGTCCCAAGCTGGGGGAAGAGGAAAGGGAGGTTTTTAAAAGGATCCAATACTGTTATAGAGGTTAATTCTCGTTCTAGGGGTTCAGACAAGGAATCCACATTCTACAATAGCCAACCAGTCTGAGAAAGTCCAGGAGTTGTCTCATTGTTTTAGATAAAGTGTAATTAAGGATGCTTTTCATACATCTGGAGACAAAGTTTTTCCCTTACAGGAGATGTCATGTTTTAGAGAGTGAAACTGAAAATAGGAAAACTAAGGATAGTGAAATTATATTTTGTCTCTTGAAAACAATGTCCCTTTTAAGTCAGATCATCCAAAAGGTATCGAGTATCTGCCAATAAATTATCAAATGTACTGGAGCAAAGAAGGTGGACATCTACGTATTGCATGACGATGCAATTACAAAGGAAAACCAAATCCTTTAAATTTGCATTTTTAAAAATATTAAACATTTAGGTTCAGGGGTACATATGCAGGTTTGTTACGTAGGTAAATTTTGTGTCATAGAGGTTTGGTGTACAGATTATTTTGTCACCCAGGTGATAAGCAGGTTTCTTGATAGGTAGTTTGTTTTGATCCCCACTCTCCTCCCACCCTCCACCCTCAAGTACGCCTCAGTGTCTGTTGTTCCCTTCCTTGTGTCCAGTTATAAGTTAAAACACGTAGTCTTTAGTTTTCTGTTCCTGCATTAGTTCGCTTAGGATAATGGCCTCCAGCCCCATCCATGTTGCTGCAAAGGACATGACCTTTTTTTTAATGGCTATGTAGTATTCCATGATGTATACGTACCACATTTTCTTTATCCAGTCTACCATTGATGGACATTTAGGTTGATTCCATGTCTTTACTGTTACGAATAGTGCTAGGTGAACATATGTGTCCACGTGTCTTTGGGGCAAAACAATTTATGTTCCTTTGGGTATATACCCAATAATGGGATTTCTGGGCTAAATGGTAGTCCTGTTTTAAGTACTTTGAGAAAATGCCAAACTGTTTTCCCTAGTGGCTGAACTAATTTACGCTCCCACCAGCAGTATATAAGCATTTCCTTTTCTGTGCAACTTCTCCAGCGGCTGTTATTTTTTGCGGTTTTATTAATAGCCGTTCTGACTGGTATGAGATGGTACCTCAGTGTGGTTTTGATTTGCATTTGTCTGATGATTAGTGATGTTGAACTTTTTTTCATACGCCTTTTGGCCCTATGTATGTCTTCTTTTGAAAAGTGTCTGCTCATGTCCTTTGTCCACTTTTTAATGGAGTTGTTTTTTGCGTGTTAATTTGTTTAAGTTCTTTATAGAGTCTGGATATTAGACTTTTGCCAGATGCATAGTTTGCTAGGCCGTATGTTTACTGGGTTAATAGTTTGTGGGGTTTTTTTCTGTATAGAAGCGCTTTAGTTTAATTAGGTCAGTTTGTTAATTTTTGTTTTTGTTGCAATTGCTTTTGGTTTCTTCATCATGAAATCTCTGCCAGGTCGTATGTCCAGAATGGTATTTTTTAGGTTATTTTCCAGGATTTTTATGGTTTTAGGTTTTACATTTAAGTATTTAATCCATCTTGAGTTGATTTTTGTATATGATGAAAGGAAGGAGTCCAGTTTCAGTCTTCTGCATATGGCTAGCCAGTTATCTCAGCACCATTTATTGAATATGGAATCCTTTCCTCACTGCTTTTGTTGACTTTGTCAAAGGTCAGATGGTGTTGGTGTGTGACTTTATTTCTTGGCTCTCTATTCTGTTCCATTGGTCTGTGTGTCTGTTTTTGTACCAGAATCATGTTGTTTTGGTTACTGTAGACTCATAATATAGTTTGAAATTAAGTAATGTGATGTCTCCAGCTTTGTACTTTTCGATTAGGGTTACTTTGGCTATTCGGGCTATTTTTTTGTTTCATATGAATTTTAGAATAGTTTTTTGTAATTATGTGAAAAATTTCATTGGTAGTTAGATAGGAATAGCATTAAATCTGTAAATTGCTTTGGGGAATATGGTCATTTTAGCAATATTGATTTTTCCTATCCGTGAGCATGGAATGTTTTTCCATTTGTGTCATCTTGAATTTCTTTCAGTAGCGTTTGTAATTCTCATTATAGAGATGTCTCACTGCCCTGGTTAAGTATATTCCTATGTATTTATTTTTTGTGTGAGGCTGTTGTGAGTGGGATTACATTCTTGATTTGACTCTCAGCTTGAATGTTGTTGGTGTATAAAAATGCTTCTGATTTTCATACATTGATTTTGTATTCTGAAACTTTGCTAAAGTTGTTTATCAGATCTAGGAGCCTTGAGGCAGAGACTATTGGGCTTTCTAGGTATAGAATCATATTATCTGCAAACAGGGATAGTTTGACTTCCTGTCTTCTTATTTGCATGTCTTTTATTTTTTTTCTGTTGCCTGATTGCTCTGGCTAGGACTACCAGAAGTATGTTGAATAGGAGTAGCGAGAGAGGGCATCCTTATCTTTTTCTGGTTCTCAAAAGGAATGCTTCCAACTTTTACCCATTCAGTATGATGTTGGCTGTAGGTTTGCATAGATGGCTCTTATTATTTTGTGTTACGTTCCTTCAGTGCCTAGTTGGTTGAGGTTTTTAACATGAAGGGATGTTGAATTTTATTGAAGAGCCTTTTCTGCATCTATTGAGATAATCGTGTGGTTTTTGTCTTTAGTTCCGTTTATGTGATGAATCACATTTATTGATTTGCATATATTGAACCAACCTTGCATCCCATGGATAAAGCCTACTTGATTGTGGTGGGTTAGCTTTTTGATGTGATGATGAATTTGGATTGCCAGTAATCTGTTGAAAATTTTTGGATCTGTGTTCATCAAGGATGTTGGTCTGAAGTTTTCCTTTTTTGTGTGTCTCTGCCAGGTTTTGGTATCAGAATGAGTCTGCCTTCAAACAATAAGTGAGGGAAGAGTCCCTCCTTCTCAACTTTTTGGAAAAGTTTCAGTAGGTACCAGATCTTCTTTAGACATCTGGTAGAATTTGGCTGTGAATCCATCTGGTCCAGAGCTTTTCCTGGTAGGTAGGGATTTTTTTTTAATTATTACTAATTCAATTTTGGGACAAGGATTTCAATTTCTTACTGGTTCAATATTGGGAGGTTGTATGTTTCTAGAAATTTTATCCATTTCTTGTAGGTTTCTTAGTTTGTGTGCACTGGTGCTTATAATAGTCCGTGAGGGTTCTTTTTCCTTTGTATTTCTTTGGAGTCAGTGGTAAAGTCATTTCTGACATTTCTGATTGTGTTTACTTAGATCTCTCTTCTTCTTTATTCGTCTAGTTAGTGGTCTACCAATCTTATTTATTTTTTCAAGGAAACAATTTATGATTTTGTTCTTTTGTATGGTTTCCCAAGTCTCAACTCAGTTCATCTCTGATTTTGGTTATTTCTTATCTTCTGCTAGCTTTGGGATTGGTTTGCTCTTGTTTTTCTAATTCCTCTAGGTGTGATATTAGGTGGTTAATTTGAGATCTTTCTAGCTTTTTGATGTGAGGATTTAACTTTCTGCTTAATACTGCTTTGGGTATGTTTCAGAGATTCTGATAAGTTCTTTGTTTTTATTAGTTTTGAAGAATTTCTTGATACCTGCCTTAATTTCCTTGTTTACCCAGAAGTCATTCAGGAGCAGGTTGTTTAATTTCCATATAATTGTATGGTTTTGTGCAATCTTCTTTGTATTGATTTCTATTTTTATTGCCCTCTTGTCCTGGAGTGTGATTGGTAAGATTCAGTTTTTCTGAATTTGCTGAAAACCATTTTTATGGCCGATTATGTAGCCAATTTTAGAGTGTGTGCCATGTACAGATAAGAAGAATGTATATTCTATTGTTTTGGGGTGGAGAGTTCTGGAGATGTTGTTAAGTCCATTTGGTCAAGTGTTGAGTTCAGGTCCCAAATATCATTCTTAGTTTTCTGCCTCAGTGATCTGTCTAACACTGTCAGTGGAGGTATCGAAGTCTTCCCCTATTATTGTGTGGTTTTCTAAGTCTCTTTGTAGCTCTCTAAGAACTTGTTTTATGAATCTAGGTATTCCTATGTTGGGTGCATATGTATTTAGGATAGTTAATTCTTCTCGTTAAATTAAATCTTTTACCTTCTTTGTCATTTTTGACTTGTTGGTTTAAAGTCCATTTTGTCTGAAATTAGAATAGCAACCCTGCCTTTTTTGTTTTACATTTGCTTGGTAGATTTTTCTCCATCCCTTTACTTTGAACCTGTGGGTGTCACTGCATGTGAGATGGGTCTCTTGAAGACAGCAAATAGTTGGGTCTAGTTTTTTAACTCGCTACTCTGTGTCTTTTAAGTGGGGCATTTTGCACCTTTATATTCAAGGTTAATATTGATATGTGCAGTTTGATACTGTTATTGTGATATCAGCCGGTTACTATGCAGACTTGATTGTGTAGTTGCTTTATGGTGTCAATGGTCTATGTACTTAATGTGTTTTTTTGTGGTGGCTGGCAACAGTCTTTTGTTTCCATAGTTAGCACTCCCTTGAGGACCTCTTGTAAGGCAGGTCTGGTGGTAATGAATTCCCTTGGCATTTGCTGTCTGAAAAGGATCTTATTTCTCCTTTGCTTATGAAGCTTAGTTTGGCTGGATATGAAATTTCTCGGTTGGAATGTCTTTTCATTAAGAATGCTGAATATATGCCCCCTGTGCCTTCTGGCTTGTAGGGTTTCTGCTGGAAGGACTGCTGTTAAGCTGATGTGGTTCCCTTTGTAGGTGACTTGCTCCTTCTCTCTAGCTGCCTTTAATATTTTTTCTCTCATGTTGACCTTGAAAAATCTGATGACTATGTGTCTTGGGGATGGTTGTCCTGTACAGTATCTCACAGGGGTTCTCTGTATTTTCTGAATTTGAATGTCAGTCTCTCTACCATGGTTGGGGAAATTCTCATGGACAATACCCTCAAATATGTTTACCAAGTTGCTTGCTTTCTCTACCTCTCTTTCAGGGACACCAGTAAGTCATAGATTTTGTCTCTTTACATACTCCTATATTGCTCAGAGGTTTAAAATTTTTTTTATTTAATAAAATAGAGATGGGGTCTCGCTATGTTGCCTAGGCTGGCCTTGAACTCCTGGGCTCAAGTGATCCTTCTACCTTGGCCTCCCAACGTGCTGGGATTACAGGTGTGAGCCACCATGCCCAGCCTTCTTGGAGATCTTGTTTATTCTTTTTTATTCTTTTTTTTATTTTTGTCTGACTGAGTTGATTCAAAGAACTGGTCTTCAAGCCCTGAGATTCTTTCCTCCACTTGGTTTATTCTGCTGTAAATACTTGAAATTGCATTATGCAATTCTTATACAGAGTTTTCAGCTTTATCAGCTCATTTTGGTTCTTTTTTTAAATGGTTATTTCATCTTTCATCTCTTGTATCATTTTATTGGATTCCTTAAATTCAATTGATTGGGTTTTTTGTTTGGTGGTGGTGGTGGTGGTTGTTGTTGTTTTTGGAGACAGAATCTTGCTCTGTCACCCAGGCTGGAGTGCAGTGGTGCAATCTCGGCTCACTGCAACCTCCGCCTCCCACATTCAAGCAATTCTCTGCCTCAGCCTCCCAAGTAGCTGGGATTACAGGCATCTGCCACCATTCCTGGTGTGTGTGTGTGTGTGTGTGTGTGTGTGTGTGTGTGTGTAGTAGAGACAGGGTTTCACTATCTTGGCCAGGCTGGTCTTGTGACCTTGTGATCCACCAACCTCAGCCTCCCAAAGTGCTGGGATTACAGGCCTGAGCTACCGTGCCTGGGCTTGATTGGGTTTTGACTTTCTAATGAATCTCAATGATCTTCATTCCTATCCAGACTCTGAATTCTGTATCTTTCATTTCAGTCATTTCAGCCTAGTTAAGAACCCTTGCCAAAGAACTAGTGTGGTCATTTGAAGGTGAGAAGACATTTTGGCTTTTTGAGTTGCCAAAGTTCTTGAGCTGGTTGATTCTCATTTGTGTGGGCTGATGTTCCTTTGATCTTTGAAGTTGCTTTCCTTTGCATGGGGTTTTTTGAGTTTATATTCTTCGATGCCCTTGAGGGTTTGAGTGTGGTACAACATGGGTTCAGTCAACTGTCTTTGTTTAAAGTATTTCAGGGGGCCAAGCCTCAGTTTATCACTCCTGGTCTGCATGTTCTAACCCTGGGGGGCTAGTATTGGGCTCTAGCTTTGTTCTCTGGCCCTTCGAGGTTAGAAACTTGCTGCAATAAGAGGGGCTAAGGTGTTCCTGGCTCACTGGCCATAACACTCTGCTGGTTGGGTGCTGGCCAAAGTGCTTTGTTGTGGCAGTGGCAGTGGGATCCGTGCTTACATGTGTGTGCCAGCAGCCACAGCAGCACAGTAGGGTGCCTGCACATCAGCAGTGGCAGGGCACCAGTGGGGGTGGGGTGGCAGCATTCATGCATGCACTAGCGCTGGTGGTGATGGCATGGTGGGATATGCATGCGTCAGTGGGAACCAGGCACTAGTGGGGGTGGGGTGGTGGTGTCTATATGCGTGCTTGTGCTGGTGGTGATGGGGTAGCAGGGTGTGCACACATGTGCTGGCAGGGGAGGGGAGGTGAGATCTGCCCACACTCATACTGACAAAGCTGTGAGCATGGGCTGTGGGTGACTGTGTGCTGGAAAAGTGGTGGGAGGAGGCTGCAGTGGGGAGAGGCTGCAAGGTGGTTGATTGCACAACAGTGGAAACTGGCCTGCTGGAGCCAGAGTTAGGCATGGTGAGCAGGTGAAGGAATTATTATGACGGCCCTTGGAAGCACCCTGGTTTGGCATCTGAGTCTGTGCTGCAAGCAGATGCAGCAGGGCTGGAGCCCCAGGAGAGGCTGGTAAACAGGGGCACACTCAGATCAAACTGGTCCCATTCCATGGGCAAGACCTCCCTTCTCTGTCTAGGTCTGGCAGCCACCAAAGGCCAAAGCCACCTAGAGGAGCTTTCTTCCAGCTTCAGTTCAGGGTCTGCGTCTTCCCTCTGTCCACTCTCAATGCCTTCCCTCTGAAGGTCTGCTTGGAGTATGGCAGTCTTCCCTATGGTCTGGTGTCTCAGTGAGTGATGCTCTTCCTGGCTGCATCTAGTCAGCCATCATTGGCTCCTCTCTAAATTTGCATTTAATGTCTGGGAAAAAATAGGCTGTTAATCTTTGAGGCATAATAGTCCAAGTGTACCGCTAATTTCCCCAGGTGTGAAAATGAATAAATTTAAAAGCTGTTGGAACCCCAAAGAACACTTTTAAGCCTTGATAGAGATGTGACTGTGATCTGAGTTATGTATGGTCTCAGCTTCTGTTCTCAGATTATAATCATAGGTTAACTCGTTTTCTTATTTTTCTTGATCTGTTCAATGACTAGAGAGAATTAAATGATGGCAGGGACAAAAGCTTCCTGCCTTCTTAATTAATGACTGTTGTTGTAGATTAACTCCCCTTTATTGTCCTGATTTGCTTAGACAAGATGACAGAAAACCCACGATTATTACAGCCTTTGCAAAAAAAAATGTTAAATGTACTCTTACTCATAAGAAACACTGCATATAACTAATCAGATTTCTGTGACTATCTATGTGCAAACCCTGTATGAATAATGCAACCCTGCTAAAAACTCCTCTGTCTCTGCCTATCTAAACGAAATCTTAACTTCCCTGCTTCGGATTGCTGACTCTATTCCTTTGGAGTTGGGATTTCTGGGTGGGCCATCCTCACATTCTGTGTGTGAATGAACTCTCTTTAAACTAGACTCTGACTCTTTTAATTATTTTAGGTTGACATTTGATAACCTGCAGATGGGACCTGAAGTAAGCCTTCTGCAATCTTCACTGCTTTGCTGACATCTGGAGCTTTGGTACAGCACAAGTGGCTTTTACTTCTTTGACTTCATTGGACCTGGAGAGGGTCTCTGGCCTGGCTTCTCTCAGATTTTGAATCTCTCTGGTTTTGGCTGAGATTCAGACTTTATTGAAGCATCCTGATTCCACGCTCAAGAAAACTGAAATTGAAGCTTTACTTTTAAAAGTAGGAGTTTCATTTGTTATTTCTCTAGAGATTCTGTGGTTTGCAGATTTGTGCTTTCACATTCCTTTGAGGATAAGGTTTTGTTTTATTCCCAAAACTTTTCAGCCTTTTCCCTTGTTCAACTTTGGTGAAGGAGAAAGTGTTTCTCTTTGAAAAGAGGAAGCAAATCTTTGTGGCTCAAATTAAATTTGTGATTTTATATTTTCTAGGTTCTGAAGCTTGGTTCAGCTGACATAGCTAAACTCTTCTTGAGTGACCAGAATTTCCATTTCCACGGTCTTCGGTCACTTAAGAGAACTCAAATTATGGACTATTGTCCCTCCAAAATCAAGTCTTTCTCCCTAAGGAGAGATCCACCTTTAGAAACTCCAGCTGCACTCATGTATGAAACTTATGGTGCCACTTCTTGTCATTATTTAGAAAATGGTTGCACATAACTCATGAAAAACTAAAATTGCAATGGCCAAAGTGGGATACCTCAACTAATTTACCTGTGTGCTCAATAAGAAAAAGCTGGTTCTAGGATAAAACAGAATAGTTAGGAGAGTTCTTTTCAATGGTATTTAAAACATCCAAAAGAGATTTTAATAGAGTTACTTCTTTACAAAAGGAGAATAAAAAGTTACCTAAAACAATTTCCAAATTTAAAAAGACAGCTGAAATTTCTCCTCCTCCTCCCTCACCTCCTCCTTCTCTTTGTCCTTTATTACCTGGGCTACTTTACCTAGAACGACCTCTTCTTTCTCCTCCCCCTGCTTCTGCTCTGGTTCCATCCCTGGAACAGCCAGTGTCTGGTAGGGATTAACCTGCCCTAGTGTATCAGTCACGGTAGAACTTAAAGGTAGAATTAAGGAATTTCCTGATCCTCACTAGGACCCTGTGAGTCCTAGTCTTCTGGTTTTGCCAGAAAAATCGCAATTAAATATTTGAGCTTATGACCCTGGCTCTATTTTAAGATGAATAAAAATTACTTTAAATGGAGAACTAACACAAACTCTTATTAACAGACCTGGAATCACCTTATCTGTAATAAAGTCCACCTTATTACAAGGTCCCATTCCTTGAAGTAAACAAACAATTCAATCTGTAGTTGTCACAAATACTCTAAGAGACTTCTTAGAATTATTTAATACCTACATTTCTTTCTCCCCAAGAGGAAAATGTATTTAGAATTAGATGATAAAACTGAATTATTGGACATACTTTTGTCAACAATCCATATTGACATGGAAGACACTAAATTATTGAGTAGTAAAAAATTATAAAACCCACTAAATGTAGTACCTAATCAATCATGGTTAAAGTCTTCCACTGATTTTGGAAAATTTATCTTGCCTACCCCAATCAAAGTTCAATAGATTCATCAAAACCCCTTCCAAACCTTAAACAATACCCTCTAAGAACTGAAGCCCTAAAAGGTATAAAGCCTATAGTTTCAGATTATTTAAGAATAGGACTTGATTATTCCCTGTAACAGCCAATGTAATACTCCAGTCCTTCCTGTAAGGAAATCAAACGATAGAGGATGGAGGTTTGTACAGAATCTGACAGCAATTAAAAACATAGTCACTCTTTGACATCCAGAAGGGCCAAACTTCCATATGTTGTTGACTGACATCCCAACTGAACCTGAGTTCTTTTCTTTTTACTTTGAGACAGGGCCTTACTCTGTTGCCCAGGCTGGAGTGCAGTGTGATTATAGCTCACTGAGGCCTCAATCTCCTGGGCTCAAGCAGTTCTCCCGCCTCGGCCTCCTGTATAGCTGGGACTACAGGTGCGCACCACAACACTTGGCTACTTTTTGTATATTTTGTAGAGATGGGGTTATCCCCCTTGTTACCCAGGCTGGTCTTGAACTCCTGGGCTCAAGCCATCCACCTGCCTCGGCTTCCCAAATTGCTGGGACTACAGGCATGAGCCACCTCGCCGGCTGAAGCTGAGTTCTTTACTGTAATAGACTTATGTAGTACATTCTTTAATATTTCTGTAGATAAAAATAATCAATTTCTCTTCACCTTCACTTGGGAAGGAAGACAATACACATGAATAGTCATGCCTCAGGGATGAACTGAGAGCCCAGCTTACTTTTCACAAATATTAAAAGCAGATCTCCCAGATATTGACTTCTTGAAAATTCATTTTAATAAAATACACAGGCAATTTACTCCTCTGCTCAGAGGATAAGCAATTATTTCTTAAAAATGGGATTCACTTGTTACAACAATTAGACTCAAAGGGACACAAAGCTTCTAAAGAAAAACACCGCCTGTAATCCCAGCACTTTGGGAGGCCGAGGCGGGTGGATCATGAGGTCAGGAGATCGAGACCATCCTGGCTAACAAGGTGAAACCCCGTCTCTACTAAAAATACAAAAAAAAAATTAGCCGGGCGCGGTGGCGGGCGCCTGTAGTCCCAGCTACTCGGGAGGCTGAGGCAGGAGAATGGCGTGAACCCGGGAAGCGGAGCTTGCAGTGAGCCGAGATTGCGCCACTGCAGTCCGCAGTCCGGCCTGGGCGACAGAGCGAGACTCCGTCTCAAAAAAAAAAAAAAAAAAAAAAAAAAAAAAAAAAAAAAAAAAGAAAAACACCAATCCTGTCAAAAACAAGTGACGTGCTTAGGCCACCTAATATTTAAGGAAGGACTTTCTATTAGTCCATACCGACTGAAAGGAGTTTTAGCTCTTCTGCCATGAAGAACCAAGAAACAGCTGGGAGAGTTCTGGGGGCTGGCAAGACATTTAAAAACTTGGATCCCAAACTTTTCTTTAAAAGCCTGCCCCTTGGCCGGACACAGTGGCTCAGGCATGAGGCCTGTAATCCCAGCACTTTGGGAGGCTGAGGCAGGTGGATCACCTGAGGTCGGGAGTTCGAGACCAGCCTGGCCAACATGGTGAAACCCTGCCTCTACTAAAAATACAAAAAAAATAGCTGAGTGTGGTGGCGGGAGCCTGTAATCCCAGCTACTTGGGAGGCTGGGGCAGGAGAATCGCTTGAACCCGGGAGGCAGAGGTTGCAGTGAGCCAAGGTCGCGCCAGTGCACTCAAGCCTGGGCAAAAAGAATAAGACTCCATCTAAATGAATGAATGAATGAATGCCTGGCCCTTACATGCTTCTTTTAAACAGGACATTCCAGACCCTCTTGTTTGGACAGAAGAAAATCAAGAAATGTCAGAAATGATCAAAAATGACTTTACTAATGCCCAAGCTTTGGTGCATGCAGATTATAATCTTCTATTTTCAGTATTTGTACATGAAAGTGATGGAAAGATTTTAAGGGTCCTGACTAAAAAACATGGAGCCCAAAGAGACCTGTGGGGTATTGTAGCCAACAGTTAGACTCTGTAATAAGAGGATTTCCATCTTCCATGAGAGCCGTAAAGCCCCTGCTTTGTTAGTTGAAGCAACTGACGAAATTCTCATGGTGACAGCCCTTAGTGGTTTTGTTTCTCATTCTTGTGAAAGCATTTGCTAAACTCGCGTCATACTCAATATTATTCAGTTAGTAGACTAGTCTCATACGAAGTTTTCTTTCTTTCAGCTTCTCATATCAACATCTCTAGATGTAATAACCTAAATCCTACAACTCTTCTGTCTCCATTTCCAGATAAAACACTGCACTATTGCATAACCCTAACTGATCACTGATCAACTTCTTTCTCCCAGGACTGACCTCAAAGAGACCCCCCTTACTACTGCCAATGGTGTTTGGTTTACAAATGGATCTTACTTAAAGGATAAATCTGGGACTTACCACTCAGGTTATACAATAGTATCTTTAACTGGGGGGAAAAAAAGAAGGAGGAGAAGAAGAAGAGGAAAGTGTTAAGCTTCTAGGCACCACCTGAGCTCAACAAACAGAATTAATTACATTAGTCAGGACTTGTCAATTGGCAAGAGGAATAACTGCTAATATTAATATAGAGAGTAGATATGTTTTTAGAGTAGCTCATGATTTTGAAACACTATGGAAACACAGGATTTTTAACTTCTTCTGGTCAGTCCTTAAAAAGTGGCCACCTCATTTCATGATTTTTGAAAGCTATATTATTACCACAGTCACTGTTTATAATTAAAATTCCAGGCCATTTCAAATCAGATATCCCAGAAAGCAAAGAAAATTAGCTAGCTGATAAGGTAGCAAAAAGAGTGGCTCTAAACAAAAACACTCTGTATTAACTCTTAAACACCTGAATTTGATATAAAATTAGCTCAATCCAGAGCTCCAAAATCAGAATACAAAATCACACTTTGTGCTTGAATAAACTCCCTTTAAATTAGACTCTGATTCTTTTGATTATTTTAGGTTGACGCAGGTGAAGGCAAATAGATGCTGTGATTCAGGGCAGAGGAATTTACTGGAGAAGGTGGAAACATGAGTCAACCGTGAAGTAATTGGTGTCAGGGAGTATTGAAATGAGGATGGTTTTAGGGTTAGAAACTAAAGGGAATCCAGGCTTCATTAGTTTGTTTATGGCTTGCAGGTATTGGACTATTTAATATTCTTCCCATTAAGCTTTTGAATAGGCTTTATTTATTTTTCTGAGACGGAGTCTCGCTCTGTCGCCCAGGCTGGAATGCAGTGGCACAATCTTAGCTCACTGCAGCCTCCACCTGCTGGGTTCAAGTGATTCTCCTACCTCAGCCTCCCGAGTAGCTGGGACTACAGGCGCACACCACCATGCCCAGCTAATTTTTGTATTTTTAGTAGAGACAGGGTTTCACCATGTTGGCCAGGATGGTCTCGATCTCTTGACTTTGTGATCTGCCTGCCTCGGCCTCCCAAAGTGCTGGAATTACAGGTGTGAGCCACGGTGCCCGGCCAATAGGCTTTATTTTTTAGAACAGCATTTGATTTACAGAAAAATTGAGTATATAGCACAGAGAATTCCCACATATCCCTGTTCCTCTTTACACAGTTTCGCCTATTATTAGCATCTTGCTTTAGTGTTGTTACAGTTCATATACTTTACATTGTTAAATATAGTCTATTTAAAGACTATAGTTTATATTAGTTCACTCTTGGTATTGTATGGTTCTAAGGGTTTTGACAAACTCATAATGATTTCTCCGTTACAAGATCATGCAGAATAGTTTTACCTCCTAACACTGTCTATGTTCTACCTATTCATTCCTCTCCAGCTCTCTCCAAGCCTCTGCCAACTGCTGATCTTTTTACTGTCTCTATAGTTTTGTCTTGTCTAGAATGCCATCAGTGTGAAGTTCCTCCATGTCTTACTTTTTTCTTAAACTCAGTGGCAAGAAGCTCCATGTCTTTTAATTGTGTGATAGCTCATTTTAAAAGTTGCTGAATCGTATTCCATCGAATGACTGTACTACAGTTTATTCACTCACCTATTGAAGGATATCTTGGTTGCTTCCAGTTGTTGACAATTTTGAATAAAACCGCTATAAACATTTATGTGCAGGTTTTTGTGCTGAAATAAGTAGTTAAATATCTAGGAGTACAACTGCTGGATCAGATGGTAAAGCTATATATTTAGTTTGTGGGAAACTTCCAAATTTTCCAAAGCCACTCTGCCATCGTGCATTCCCACCAGCAATAAATGAAAGTTCCTATTGCTCTTCATCCTTGTCAGCATTTGGTATTGACACTGGTATCTATTGTAGTTTGTTTATTTATTTAATTTTTAGTGTTTGAGACAGGGTCTTGCTCTGTTGCTCAGGCTGGAGTGCAGTGGCACAATCATGGCTCACTGCAGCTTCCACCTCCTGGGCTCAAGCAATCCTCCTGCCTCAACCTCCAGAGTAGCTGGACCTACAGACACATGACAACACACATGGAAAATTTTTAAATTTGTTTTGCAGAGATGGGGTCTTGTTGCCCGGGCTTCTTGACCTCCTGGTCTCAAGTAATCCTCCCACCTCGGCCTCCCAAAGTGTTGTGACTACAGGCATGAGCTTCTGCACCTGGCTTCACTGTAGTTTTAATTTGCAATTTCCTAATGGCATATGACTTGAGCATCTTTTCCTATACTCATTTGCCGTATGTCTACCTTCTTTCATGAGATATCTGTTCAGATCTTTTGCCCTTTTTTTTTTGGTTTTTTGTTTTGAGACAGAGTCTCGCTCTGTCGCCGAGGCTGGAGTGCAGTGGCACTGTGTCAGCTCACTGCAACCTGCGTCTCCTGGGTTCAAGCAATTCTCCTGCCTCAGCCTCCTGAATAGCTGGGATTACAGGTGCCCATCACCATGCCCAGCTAGTTTTTATATTTTTAGTAGAGACGGGGTTTCACCATGTTGGCCAGGCTGGTCTTGAACTCCTGACCTCAGGTGATCCGCCCGCCTTGGCCTCCCAAAGTGCTGGGATTACAGGCGTGAGCCACCGTGCACGGCCTCTTTTGCCCATTTTTAAGTTTTTATTCTTAATTGTGACAAAATATACATAAAATTTACCATCTTAATCATTTGTAAGTGTACAGCTCAGTAGTGTTAAATACATTCACATTGTTGGCAGTCATTCTCCAGAACTCTTCGTCTTGCAAAACTGAAACTATTCCCATTAAACAACTCCCTATTCTGCAACTTGCCCTCCTCCCCCTAGTTCCCAGCAACCACCATTTGTTATGGGAAAAAGCCAGAACAGTATAGAAGCAAGTTCCCCCATACTGGGAAGGAGCCAAGACACCAAAGAATGACTTAGATAAGTTCAGTTTGAGGAGTAGATGAGTTTATTGGGACTTACCTACAGGGTACTCCTGGGCAGCAGCAAGGCAGCAGGACAACATGGAGGTCTGCTCTGCCACCTGTCTGCTTTTCATTTATGATCTATTTATTTTTACTTTAAAATAATTTTATTTTTTTGAGACGGAGTCTCGCTCTGTAGCCCAGGCTGGAGTATGGTGGCACTATCTCGGCTCACTGCAAGCTCCGCCTCCCAGGTTCATGCCATTCTCCTGCCTCAGCCTCCCCAGTAGCTGGGATTACAGGCGCCTGCCACCACACCTGGCTAATTTTTTTTGTATTTTTAGTAGAGACGGGGTTTCACCGTGTTAGCCAGGATGGTCTCGATCTCCTGACCTTGTGATCGACCCGCCTTGGCCTCCCAAAGTGCTGGGACTACAGGCGTGAGCCACCACGCCTGGCCAACTTTAAAATAATTTTGTATTAATTTTCGTGGGTGCGTAGTAGATATATACCTACTCATATACCTCATAGTAGGTGTATGGGGTATATGAGATGTTTTGATATTGGCATGTAATACATAATAAACACATCATGGAAAATGAGGTATTCATCCCCTCAAGCATTTATTCTTTGTGTTATAAACAATCCAGTTATGCTCTTAGTTATTTTAAATTTATTTATATATATTTATACATTTATTTAATGTGTAAATATTATTGACTATAGTCACCTTTCTAAGCTGCTTTTTTTTTTTTTTTTTTTTTTTTTTTTGGGAGACGGAGTCTCCTCGCTCTGTCGCCCAGGCTGGAGTACAGTGGCCCGATCTCGGCTCACTGCAAGCTCCGCCTCCCAGGTTCACGCCATTCTCCTGCCTCAGCCTCCCGAGTAGCTGGGACTACAGGCACCCGCCACCTCGCCCAGCTAATTTTTTGTATTTTTAGTAGAGACGGGGTTTCACCGTATTAGCCAGGATGGTCTGGATCTCCTGACCTCGTGATCCGCCCACCTTGGCCTCCCAAAGTGCTGGGATTACAGGCATGAGCCACCGCGCCCGGCCTCTAAGCTGCTTTTAGGCTAATTTTCTGGCTCTTTTCCTACTGTGTGTGCGCAATGGGACTGTTTTCCTTGGTATGCTCTCAGATATACTCTGGGATGTTTCGGTTCTCAGGGATACCTGCTCCTTGGGTGGGCCACTGACTCACTGCCTAGCTTTCAGGGTTCAGGCAGCAGACATAGATCCTTAAGTAATCTGGTGGGTGACTCATCACACTACACTCAGCCATTTCATTTTCTTATAGCAGTGTCTAATCTTAGGTGTTGTACATGGAAAACAAAGGCGTTACAGGAACTGCAAATAGGGATGCGGAACCTTTTGTCAAGGAATCCTTGAATAATAAACAGATCTGAGACCTTCACTTGCTTCAGATTTTGAAGGAAACTGGGATAGTCCATGGAGGGGGAATGGTGGAGTCTATTTCTACTTTTAAGGGCCCTACTTCCCCAATATGTCTGTTGATCCTGTAGCCAAAGAAACTGATGGATGTGAGTGAGCATGTTCTGAGTGAGGGATGCCAAGGGCTTGGGGAATTATGGGGGGAGCAAGGAAACGGGTGATCTATCAGAGCTGTTGGAGGATAAAGGCCAGGGGGAAGGAGTTCCAGAACTTCAGGAATTAGTACGTCGGATAAACAAAAATATTAACATTCCAAATAGAAAGTAAATCCCTGCTAATAGATTAACAGGGATTGTGAAATTTAACAAAAAGCTGTGTTGGGCATGATGGAGTCCAAGAGACACCAAAAGGGGCTTAGAAAGAGGCAAATCATCCACCCCCACTACTGAGGCATTATGGTAAGGAATTGTGAGGGTTAAGGGTAGAGTAGGTGGTTCTAGTATCTATTAGAAAGGTCATAGGGTGCTCACTGACTGGGATTATTATTTCTCCCTGTGTGTTCAAGGGTATCAGGGGGTGCACAAGAGCAGATTCCTCAAAGGGGAGTCACTGGGATGCTGACGTTTTTCTTTTTGGACCTTGAGATAATTACAGGTGCTCCAGACTACTCATGATCGTAGGGATGTCGAGGTGACTTCAAGGCCTTGGGGTGATTCCCCATGAGTTGTTTCAGTTGGAGATCCATGAGTTTGCATTTTTCAGATTATTTAGATGCCTGTACATCTTTTGGGTTTCTGCTAAAACATGGATCTTAAAGAGAGGGGCATTTTGGCAGTGGTACCTTTGGCCAGTTACTTAAGTGGAATTTCATTCTCTCTTGGCTTCCTTCACAGATGATGTATGAAAGCATGAAATTCAAAGAGACAAAGGGAAATTGTGTAAAAAGCAGATCAGCCCTCTGCTTTACTCTTACCTTCTAGGTCCACAAATAGGTATAACTTGAATTAGGACAGGTGGAGAGGAGCATATAATTAATACGATGTTAATTAGTATGAGTAAACTCTCTGAGTTTAGTATGGAGCTCATTAACAAAACTGGTAACTAAAGCAGATGCCGTTTAGAGTTAAACCTGGGTAATCTTTCCAGTTGTTTTCTAAGTGGTATTCATAGACAGAGACTAATTCATCTCTTTGTTGTCGGTACTCTTAAGTCTTTGATGAGTTGATTTTAGTTGAGAAGGCTGTGGAAATAGAATCTGAAAGCTTTTCTCTGATTTCTCCATCTGTGATAGCCCCTAGGTGTTTTGAGATTTAACTGTAGGTCTTCATTAATTTTGGTACTCTCAAACCCTAGGGAGGCATCTCTAGGTCCTATAAGAAGTTTGAATAATTAGTAAAGATCTTAAAGCTCTAGAGAAGATGCCCCTAAGATTGACTAACTTGTGTAAAAAATTTCTCCCTTCATGGCCGGGCACAGTGGCTCATGCCTGTAATCCCAGCACTTTGGAAGGCCGAGGTGGGTGGATCACTTGGGGTCAGGAGTTTGAGACCAGCCTGGCCAACCTGGTGAAACCCTGTCTCTACTAAAAATATAAAAATTAGCCAGGCATGGTGGCATGTACCTGAAATCCCAGCTACTCAGGAGGCTGAGGCACGAGAATTGCTTGAACCTGGGAGGCAGAGTTTGCAGTGAGCCGAGGTCATGCCACTACACTCCAGCCTGGGCAACAGAGCAAGACTCCATCTCCAAAAAAAAAAAAAAAAAAAAAAAAAAAAAAAAAAAAAAAAAAACAAGAAAGAAAATTTCTCCCTTCATTGTATGTAGTTTCATTTTCAAAACTACAGTTTCAAAAGGCCACAACATGACAACCATTACAATTGATGACCCCGAGGTGGTCCATTTTGTGCACTGGTCTTCTTCATCTTTAGTTACAAGCTCAGCTTCCTCTCTAAGTCTTGAGGTATCCTTGTATGTAATGATGATATCATTTGTCGAATGCTTATTAAATTGTATAGACTGTGTTAAGAGCAAGTTTGCACAGTAACCCTTTTAATCCTCAAGTATCTCTATGATGTAGGTTTTAGTATTTTGATTTTATAGATAAGGACATAGAGGCTGTATCCTCAGTAATATGTCATGGGTCACACAGCAAGTTAGGGGCATGGCCAGAATGTGACTGAAGTGTGTTCAGCTCAAAACCCTATGGCCTTAACTACTACACCAGTCTTTCTCCATTATCTCATCCTCTGAGATGCTTCCCATGAGGCAGTCTCAAACTCTTAAGTCCAACTCAAAGAAAATGGCTTATCTGAATATGGTTTAATACTGTTTTGATTTAGAGGATTTTCCTATTGCCTAAAGGCTTTGCAGTGGTGAGAATGGGATGGGAATTCCCAAAGTCACCTGGACAAGTTTAATATTAATTTTTGTGGGTACATAGTAGATATATATACTTATGGGTTACATGAGATATTTTGATAAAGCATGCAATGCGTAATAATCACATCAGAATGGAGTATCCATCTTTGCTAAAGGATAAAGCATTTATCCTTTATGTTACAAAAAATCCAATTATACTCTTTTAGTTATTTTAAAATGTATAATTAAATTATTTTTTACTATAGTCACCCTGTTGTGCTAGCAAATAATAGGTCTTACTCATTCTTTCTTGCCAAGACCAGCTCGGTCGGGGAGACCCTAACCCAGTGGCACTAGAGGAATTAAAGACACACACACAGAAATATAGAGGTGTGGAGTGGGAAATCAGGGGTCTCACAGCCTTCAGAGCTGAGAGCCCCCGAACAGAGATTTACCCACGTATTTATTAACAGCAAACCAGTCATTAGCATTGTTTCTATAGATGTTAAATTAACTAAAAGTATCCCTTATGGGAAACGAAGGGATGGGCCGGATTAAAGGAATAGGTTGGGTTAGTTAACTGCAGCAGGAGCATGTCCCTAAGGCACAGATTGCTCATGCTATTGTGTGTGGCTTAAGAATGCCTTTAAGTGGTTTTCCATCCTGGGCGGGCCAGGTGTTCCTTGCCCTCATTCCAATAAACCCACAACCTTCCAGCTTGGGTGTTAAGGGCCATTATGAACATGTTACAGTGCTGCAGAGATTTTGTTTATGGCCAGTTTTGGGGACAGTTTATGGCCAGATTTTGGGGGGGCCTGCTCCCAACATGTCTCCCTTCTTTGATTTGCAAAGAGATAAAAGCAAAGGCAGCTTTGTCACAGTGAGCTACTTCTCACAGGAGTCAGGATCCACATCTGCACACTATACAAAGACAAACAACATGGATTAAAAGCACAATCATCATTGAAATACAGAGCTTCCAAGTGTTTTTATCCATTCTAATGGGTTACTAGCTGCTAATTTGTCTGCAGCTCCTTTAAGGACTCCAGTTCCTGGCATTAAGGTCAGGTGTGCCTGGGATGCTTTAAATATTTGTTCTTTTAATTTTGCCATATCCAAAAACAAGTTTGTAGAGTGTCCTTCTAGATGCCTTTTTATTCTTTCCCAAATTTTGATCTTATTAAGAACATCTAATAGTTTCCACAAATCCTTATGTTAAGCTTCTAGAGCAGGCCATATCATTTGAGGTTGAGGTGCCACTATACCGCCACGGTTCCAGATAATAGGAACTTTTGCCATACTTCTTATCATTTCTACCATCTGACCGTTTTGTTCAGATCATCTGAACATAGTGTGGCCATGGCACGCAGACTGAGAGGTGCAATTCAAGCTAAACATCCCCTTAGGGTACCAATTAATAATGATTCCATAGGAATCATTGTGCAGCACCTCTGTCTGTTCTGCAAAGCAATCTTCCTAAACAAGTACGTTCATCTTTTTCTAACTGGGTCCAATCCTGTTTACAAAAAGGTTTTTGAGGATGGTATGCCTCAATTATATGAGCAGATTTATTATGGTAAATACTGAGATCAGAAAGCATGTGTAACTGTGTCAGAGTGATTGCATCCAGGCATTATTGCCGGCCAAGATTGATAAATATGCCCAATAAGTATAACTGTTCTCTGTGTCAGCCCCTGTTGAAGGAATACTCATGGCAGTGGTGATAACCGCTATCATAGCTACCATTAAATTATTCATTGTGACTGGTTGTCCCGCTTTCCTCAGGTTTTCTTCCGCCATCTGTGACAGCTTCTTGATCTGTCCCCAGGTGGGTGGCTGTGTTTGACGGGTGTTGCTCGTGACAATTGGGGTCCTCCTCAGCATCAGTCTTGACATGGCTGCAACTGGGGGGTCCTCGGGATC
The DNA here is from genome assembly GCF_000001405.40 of Homo sapiens. Taxonomy (NCBI): domain Eukaryota; kingdom Metazoa; phylum Chordata; class Mammalia; order Primates; family Hominidae; genus Homo; species Homo sapiens. Next base: position 6,876,758 of record NC_000017.11, read on the forward strand.
CTCCTGTAATCTGGCTTATGCTAAGGTTTCAGGTGTATTGATGGTATCCAGATCAGCTGTTGATTTTGGCCTGGAGAAACACAAGCATAACCTCTACCCCAGGTTATCTTCTTTTCAGGTAATGCTGTATCTGCGTTTGAGACCAGAGGCATTAACATGGGTTAAATTGTGAGTGTCTAGCATTAGATATTGCATTAGCAACTAGGCGATCAGCCATTTGATTCCCTTCAGTCAAAGATCCTGGAAGAGGTATATGAGCCCTAATGTGAGTGATGTAAAAAGGGTGCATTCTACGTCTAACTGCTGTTTGCAATTGGGTAAATAAAGTCATCAGTTGTGTATCTGTATGAAATCATAACTGAGCATTTTTAATTAACTCTGTTGGAATGAACCACATATGAAGAATCAGAAATCACATTAATAGGCACATCAAAAGCAGTCAATACCTCAATTACCACTACAAGCTCTGCTTTTTGAGCTGAAGTATAGGACGTCTGGAAAACTTTACTTTTTGAGCCAAAATAAGAAGCTTTACCATTACTAGACCCATCTGTAAAAACATTCTCAGCCCCTTCAATTGATTTAAACTTAGTTATTTTGGGGAGAATCCAATTAGTTAATTTCAAAAACTGAAACAGCTTCATTTTAGGAAAATGATTATTGAGAATACCCACAAAGTCAGCTAAATGGGTTTGCCAAGTAAGACTTTTTATAAAAGCTTGCTGTATTTGTGCCTTCGTGAGAGGGACAATAATTTTTCTAGGATCATATCCATGTAATTTAACAATCTGAGTTCTCCTACTCCCTATAGTAGTGATTTGATCTAAATAAGGAGTTAGAGTCCATGAATTAGTATGTGGAAGAAAAAGCCATTTTACTAAGTCCTGTTCTTGGACAATAACACCAGTGGGTGAATGCTGAGTTGAAAAAATTAGCAAATCTAGAGTCTTCTCTGGATCTATTCTATTTATTTGAGCTTTATGGACTTGCTTCTCAATCAGTTGTAACTCTGCCTCTGCCTCGTTTGTTAATTGCCAAGGGCTAGTGAGACTAGGATTTCCTCTAAGGATAGAAAACAGATTACTCATGGCATAGGTAGGAATGCCTAGAGCAGGTCGTATCCAATTAATATCCCCTGGTAATTTTTGAAAATCATTTAATGTTTTTAATTTATCCCTAAGTATGGTTACTTTCTGTGGCACAATGGTAGTGTCATTTACTAAGGTCCCCAAGTAAGAATAAGGAGTAGTAGTCTGAATTTTGTCAGGAGCTATAATTAAACTAACGCAAGAAATCGAATTTTGCAAGTGATCATAACATTGGAGTAATATTTCTCGAGTGGGGCAGCACAAAGTATATCATCCATATAGTGAATAATGTAACACTGTAAAAACTTTTTACGAGTAGGTTCAATTGCTTGCCCCACATATGTCAGGCAAATTGTGGGGCTATTTAACATGCCCCTTTCCAATGAATACGCTTTCCAATGAATACGCTTAGCAGGCTGCAGGTTGTTTACTGCAGGAATTGTAAATGCAAACTGTTCACAGTCTTGCTCAGCTAAAGGGATAGTAAAGAAACAGTCTTTTAAATCTTTGACTATCAAAGGCCAATTTTTTGGAATTATAGCAGGAGAAGGCAATCCTGGCTGTAATGCTCTCATAAGTTGTGTAACTGAATTGATGTCTCTTAAGTCAGTTAACATTCTGCATTTACCTGATTTTTTCTTAATTACGAAAACTGGAGAATTCCAAGGGGAAAATGTTGGAGCTATGTGCCCATTTTCTAATTGTTCAGTAACTAATTTATCTAAAGCCTCCAGTTTCTCTTTACTTAGCGTCCATTGTTCTATCCAAATTGGCTTATCTGTTAACCATTTTAAAGGTATAGGTTCTGGAGGCTTAACAATGGCCGCCATCAAACATTATTTCCTAATTTTTGGCGAGAACTTTGTTTTTCCACTTGAAGCAGTTCTTTCAAACCTTGCAAATTTTTTTCTAGTCCCATACCAGGGACATACCCCATTTCATGCATTGTATGTTGACTTTGAGGGCTATATAATTGTTCTGGAATTAGAACTTGTGCTCCCCATTGTTGTAATAAATCTCTTCCCTATAAATTTACAGGTACAGAAGTTATAATTGGTTGAATAGTCCCAGGTTGTCCATCAGGCCCTTCACAGTGCAAAATATAACTACTTTGATATACTTCAGGGGCTTTACCAACTCCAGCTATGTTAAATTGAGCAGGTTGAATTGGCCATGCAGATGGCCAGCGCTGTAGAGAAATGATTGAAATGTCTGCTCCTGTATCTACCAAACCTTTAAATTTCTTTCCCTGAATAGTTATTTCACAGGTAGGACGTTTATCAGTAATTTGATTTACCCAATAAGCTGCTTTGCCTTGTTTATTTGTGCTTCCAAATCCTCCTATTCGTTTAATTTCACTTTTTCCCATTCCCACATACGGCAAAATCAGGAGCTGTGCTATGCGCTCTCCTGGCTCTGCTCTCCAAGGAACAGAAGTAGATGTAACAATTTGAATTTCCCCATTATAATCTGAATCAATGACTCCTGTATGTATTTGTATGCCTTTTAAACTTACACTAGACCTTCCTAAAAGTAATCCTATCGTCCCTGCTGGCAAGAGTCCACAGACTCCTGCTGGGACCTTTTGCGGGGGTTCCCCAGGCAGAAAGCTCACAGCTTTTGTGCAGCATAAATCTACTGTGGCACTACCAGCTGTGGCGGGGGACAGACATTGTACAGCAGTGAGGGAAAGGCCTGAGCTGGAAATGCCCCGGTTTAGAATGGGGCCCGGGATGGGCCCCTCATGGCATTTCCCGAAATTGGGTTCCCTTCTTTATCAAACTTAGAGTGACACTGATTAGCCCAATGTTTTCCTTTTTTACATTTTGGACATATTTCAGGATCAGCAGTTTTCTTTTTTCCCCTAACTGACGGCCTGACTCACTGATTTTTTCTACATTCTATTTAGTATGACCATGCTTCCCACAGTTAAAACAAGTTCCAGGAAACAGAGTATTTCCTTTATCCACTCTCAGTCCTGCTATTGCCTGTGCTAGCAGAGTAGCTTTATGCAGATTACCTCCAATACCATCACAGGCCTTGATATAATCAACTAAATGTGCTTTCCCTCTGATAGGTCGCAGAGCAGCCTGGCAATTGGGATTAGCATTGTCAAAAGCTAATAACTGCAACACTATGTCCTGAGCAGCCGAATCTGCAATCATCTTTTTAAGAGACTTCTGTAACCGAGCTATAAAATCAATGTATGGTTCTCTTGGTCCCTGTTTTATAGCACTAAAGGAAGGGTATTGTTCCCCACCTGAAGTGATTTTTTCCCAAGCTCTAATGCACACTCCTCTAAGCTGTTCTAAGGCATCATCCTGCATGACCAGTTGTGCATCAAAACCAGCCCAACCACCAACCCCCAAAAGTTGGTGTGCAGTTATATTAATTTGAGGTTGGGCCTGGGCATTGTGAGAAGCCGAATGGAAGCTTCGTCTGCCCACCAAGTTTTAAATTGTAAGAACTGAGCAGGGGTTAGACAAGCTCGAGTAAGAGCATCCCAGTCAGTAGGAATCATCTGACTGGAAACAGCAACATTCTTTAACAGTCCCATTACAAAAGGAGAACCTGGTCCATACTGATTTATAGCTTGTTTAAATTATTTGAGTAATTTAAAAGGAAAAGGCTCAAATGTGGCTATAATATTTCCCTTTTGATTGGGGGTGGGAGGGGTGTATTCTAACAGGGAACTGCCAAGCCTCTAAATCACCCTCTCATCTAGCTTGCTGAATTCCTACCTGAATAGAACTAAAAGCAGTCGCTTGAGGCGCTGCTCAAATAGTCACAGGGGCAACTACTTTTCGCCCCGTGTCCTCCGGAAAAGAAAGATCTGGAGGGTCTTTTTCTTCAAAATAATAATGAGGGGGTGCAGAAGGGTAGGGATGAACCTCTCCTTCCTTTGCTGCTTTAGCTGGTAAATGAACATGCTCTGTAACCTCTTCTGTTACTTCACTATACTCTCCTTCCTCCTCATGATCAGTGTGAAAAAGTTCCAAGATGGAATGAACCAGACCCCACACTTGTCCCATTGTTACCCTTCCAAGCTCCCCTTCTTACTCACCACGGGGATTGCTTTAAGAGTACTCCTGTGTCCTCCAGCTGGTTTTCCATTCCAACTGTTGCTCTGGCGACCCTTCGACCTGGATTTGAGCCCCCACGAATGGACACCACTTGCCGAGACCAGCTCAGTCGGGGAGACCCTAACCCAGCAGCGCTAGAGGAATTAAAGACACACACACAGAACTACAGAGGTGTGAAGTAGGAAATCAGGGGTCTCACAGCCTTCAGAGCTGAGAACCCCGAACAGAGATTTACCCACGTATTTATTAATGGCAAACCAGTCATTAGCATTGTCTCTATAGATATTAAATTAACTAAAAGTATCCCTTATGGGAAAAGGGATGGGCTGAATTAAAGGAATAGGTTGGACTAGTTAACTGCAGCAGGAGCATGTCCTTAAGGCACAGATCACTCATGCTATTGTTTGTGGCTTAAGAACGCCTTTAAGCAGTTTTCCGTCCTGGGCGGGCCAGGTGTTCCTTGCCCTCATTCCCATAAACCCACAACCTTCCAGCTTGGGCGTTAGGGCCATTATGAACATGTTACAGTGCTGCAGAGATTTTGTTTATGGTCAATTTTAGGGACAGTTTATGGCCAGATTTTGGGGGGCCTGCTCCCAACACTTTCTAATTTTTTTGTACCCATTGACCATCTCCATTCCCCACGCCCTACCCACTCCCCCCACCACATTATGCTTCCCAGCCTCTGGTAAGCATCCTTCTACTCTCTACGTCTATGAGTTCAATTGTTTTAATTGTTGGCTCCCACAAATAAGTGAGAGCATTTAGTCTGTCTTTCTGTGCCTGACTGATTTCACTTAACATAATGACCTCCAGTTCCATCCATGTTGTTGCAAATGACGGAATCTTATTTTTTTATGGCTGAATAGCACTCCATTATGTAATTGTACTATATTTTCTTTATTGATTCAGCTGTTGATGAACATTTAGTTTGCTTCCAAATCTTGGCTATTGTGAATAGTGCTGCAAGAAACATGAGAGTACAGATACATCTTCGATATTCTGATTTCCTTTCTTTCGAGTATATACCTAGCAATGGGATTGCTCAATCATATGGTAGCTCTACTTTTAGTGTTTTGATGAACCTCCATAGTGGTTGTATTAATTTACAATCCCACCAACAGTGTACAAGGGTTCCCTTTTCTCCACATCCTCACCAGCATTTGTTATTGCCTGTCTTTTGGATATAAGCCATTTTTAACCTGTGGTAAGATGATTTCTCATTGTAGTTTTGATTTGCATTTCTCTGATCAGTGATGTTGAGCACCTTTTCATTTACCTATTTGACATTTGGATATCTTCTTTTGAGAAATGTCTATTCAGATATTTTGTCTGTTTTAATCAGATTATTAGGTTATTTTCCTATAGAGTTGTCTGAGCTCCTTATGTATTCTTGTTATTAATCCCTTGTCAAATGGGTAGTTTGCAAATATTTTCACCCATTATGTGGGTTGTCTCTTCACTTTGTTGATTGCATCCTTTGCTATACAGAAGTTTGTTTTTTTTTTTAACTTGATGTGATCTCTTTTGTTGATTTTTGCTTCAATTGCCTGTGCTTGTGGGGTATTACTCAAGAAATTTTTGCCCAGACCAATATCCTGGAGATTTCCCCCTATGTTTTCTTGTAGTAGTTTCATAGTTTGAGAACATAGATTTAAATCTTTAGACTTAAGTCTTTAATGCATTTGATTTGATTTTTGTATGTGGCAAGAGATAGGAGTGTAGTTTCATTCTTCTGCATATGGATATCCAGTTTTCCCAGCACCATTTATTGAAGAGACTGTCCTTTCCCTGATGTATGTTCTTAACATCTTTGTCAAAAATGAGTTCACTGTAGATGTGTGGATTTATTTCTGGGTTCTCTATTCTGTTCCACTTGTCTATGTGTCTGTTTTTGTAACTCTACCATGCTGTTTTGGCTACTATAGCTCTGTAGTATAATTTGAAGTAAGGCAATGTGATTCCTCCAGTTTTGTTCTTTTTGCTCAGGATAGCTTTGGCTATTCTGGGCTTGTGTGTGTCTGTGTGTGTGTGTGTGTGTGTGTGTGTGTGTGTGTGTGTGTGTTCCCATATAAACTTTAGGATTGTTTTTTCTATTTCTGTGAAAAATGTCATTGATATTTTGATAGGGATTGCATTGCATCTGTAGATTGCTTTGGGTAGTATGGACATTTAACAATATTGATTCGTCTAATCCATAAACATGGAATATCTTTCCATTTTTTTGTATCCTTTAAAATTTTTTTTTAGGGCCCCATAACTTTGAGTATAGTTTTATTCTGAATAAAGTGAATATATTCTTTTCGTGTGTTTATATGTTTATACAAAAGTAGATGAACAGATGTAGGCACAATTGAAATAAAAGGAAATTCTTTAAAATATTAATATTGTATTATTAATTGATGAGATTATAGGTTATTTGAAACGTCTTTTTTATAGTTTTTGTTATCTTTTTTTATTATACTTTAAGTTTTAGGGTACATGTACACAACGTGCAGGTTTGTTACATATGTATGCATGTGCCATGTTGGTGCACTGCACCCATTAACTCATTTAACATTAAGTATATCTCCTAATGCTATCCCTCCCCCCTCCCCCACCCCACAACAGGCCCCAGTGTGTGATGTTCCCCTTCCTGTGTCCATGTGTTCTCATTGTTCAGTTCCCACCTACGAGTGAGAACATGTGGTGTTTGGTTTTTTGTCCTTGAGATAGTTTGCTGAGAATGATGGTTTCCAGCTTCATCCATGTCCCTACAAAGAACATGAACTCATCATTTTTTATGGCTGCATAGTATTCCATGGTATATATATGCCATATTTTCTTAATCCAGTCTATCATTGTTGGACATTTGGGTTGGTTCCAACTCTTTGCTGTTGTGAATAGTGCCGCCATAAACATACGTGTGCATGTGTCTTTATAGCATCATGATTTCTAATCCTTTGGCTATGTACCCAGTAATGGGATGGCTGGGTCAAATGGTATTTCTAGTTCTAGATCCTTGAGGAATCGCCACACTGACTTGCACAATGGTTGAACTAGTTTACAGTCCCACCAACAGTGTAAAAGTGTTCCTATTTCTCCATATCCTCTCCAGCACCTGTTGTTTCCTGACTTTTTAATGATCACCATTCTTACTGGTGTGAGATGGTATCTCATTGTGGTTTTGATTTGCATTTCTCTGATGACCAGTGATGGCGAGCATTTTTTCATGCATCTTTTGGCTGCATAAATGTCTTCTTTTGAGAAGTGTATGTTCATATCCTTCGCCCACTTTTTGATGGGGTTGTTTTTTTCTTGTAAATTTGTTTGACTTCTTTGTAGATTCTGGATATTAGCCCTTTGTCAGATGAGTAGACTGCAAAAATTTTCTCCCATTCTGTAGGTTGCCTGTTTACTCTGATGGTAGTTTCTTTTGCTGTGCAGAAGCTCTTTAGTTTAATTAGATCCCATTTGTCAATTTTGGCTTTTGTTGCCATTGCTTTTGGTGTTTTAGACATGAAGTCCTTGCCCATGCCTATGTCCTGAATGGTAATGCCTAGGTTTTCTTCTAGGGTTTTTATGGTTTTAGGTCTAACATGTAAGTCTTTAATCCACTTTGAATTGATTTTTGTATAAGGTGTAAGGAAGGGATCCAGTTTCAGCTTTCTACATATGGCTAGCCAGTTTTCCCAGCACCATTTATTAAATAGGGAATCCTTTCCCCATTTCTTGTTTTTGTCAGGTTTGTCAAAGATCAGATGGTTGTAGATATGCGGCAGTATTTCTGAGGGCTCTGTTCTGTTCCATTGGTCTACATCTCTGTTTTGGTACCAGTACCATGCTGTTTTGGTTACTGGAGCCTTGTAGTATAGTTTGAAGTCAGGTAGCGTGATGCCTCCAGCTTTGTTCTTTTGGCTTAGGATTGACTTGGCAATGCTGGCCCTTTTTTGGTTCCATATGGACTTTAAAGTAGTTTTTTCCAATTCAGTGAAGAAAGTCATTGGTAGCTTGATGGGGATGGCACTGAATCTATAATTTACCTTGGGCAGTATGGCCATTTTCACGATATTGATTCTTCCTACCCATGAGCATGGAATCTTCTTCCATTTGTTTGTATCCTCTTTTATTTCATTGAGCAGTGGTTTGAAGTTCTCCTTGAAGAGGTCCTTCACATCCCTTGTAAGTTGGATTCCTAGGTATTTTATTCTCTTTGAAGCAATTGTGAATGGGAGTTAACTCATGATTTGGCTCTCTGTTTGTTATTGGTGTGTAAGAATGCTTGTGATTTTTGCACATTGATTTTGTATCCTGAGACTTTGCTGAAGTTGCCTATCAGCTTAAGGAGATTTTGGGCTGAGACAATGGGGTTTTCTAGATATACAATCATGTCATCTGCAAACAGGGACAATTTGACTTCCTCTTTTCCTAATTGAATACCCTTGATTTCCTTCTCCTGCCTGATTGCCCTGGCCAGAACTTCCAACACTATGTTGAATAGGAGTGGTGAGAGAAGGCATCCCTCTCTCAAGACAGGGCATCCCTGTCTTGTGCCAGTTTTCAAAGGGAATGCTTCCAGTTTTTGCGCATTCAGTATGATATTGGCTGTGGGTTTGTCATAGATACCTTATTATTTTGAGATACTTCCCATCAATACATAATTTATTGAGAGTTTTTGGCATAAAGCCTTGTTGAATTTTGTCAAAGGCCTTTTCTGCATCTATTGAGATAATCATGTGGTTTTTGTCGTTGGTTCTGTTTATATGCTGGATTATGTTTATTAATTTGCGTATATTGAACCAGCCTTGCATCCCAGGGATGAAGCCCACTTGATCATGGTGGATAAGCTTTTTGATGTGCTGCTGGATTTGTTTTGCCAGTATTTTATTGAGGATTTTTGCATTGATGTTCATCAGGGATATTGGTATTAAATTCTCTTTTTTTTTTGTTGTGTCTCTGCCAGGCTTTGGTATCAGGATGATGCTGGCCTCATAAAATGAGTTAGGGAGGATTCCCTCTTTTTCTATTGATTGGAATCGTTTCAGAAGGAATGGTACCAGCTCCTCCTTGTACCTCTGGTAGAATTCGGCTGTGAATCCGTCTGGTCCTGGACTTTTTTTGGTTGGTAAGCTATTAATTATTGCCTCAATTTCAGAGCCTGTTATTGGTCTATTCAGAGATCCAGCTTCTTCCTGGTTTAGTCTTGGGAGGGTGTATGTGTCGAGGAATTTATCCATTTCTTCTAGATTTTCTAGTTTATTTCCGTAGAGGTGATTATAGTAGTCTCTGATGGTAGTTTGTATTTCTGTGGGATCGGTGGTGATATCCCCTTTATCATTTTTTATTGCGTCTATTTGATTCTTCTCTCTTTTCTTCTTTATTAGTCTTGCTAGCTGTCTATCAATTTTATTGATCTTTTCAAAAAAACCAGCTCCTGGATTCATTGATTTTTTGAAGGGTTTTTTGTGTCTCTATCCCTTTCAGTTCTGCTCTGATCTTAGTTATTTCTTGCCTTCTGCTAGCTTTTGAATGTGTTTGCTCTTGCGTCTCTAGTTCTTTTAATTGTGATGTTAGGGTGTCAATTTTTTCTTTAGTTAATTCTTACGTATTATATTTTATTTTTAACTATTGTAAATAGGATTACTTTCTTAATTTCTTTTTCAGATTGTTCGCTGTTGGCATATAGAAATCCTACTGATTTTTGTATGTTGCTTCTGTATCCTCCAATTTTAATAAATTTATCAGTTTTAATTTGGTGGAGTCTAGGTTTTTCCAAATATAAGATCATATCATCTGCAAATAAAGATAATTTGACTTCTTCCTTTCCAATTTGGATGCCCTTCATTTCTTTCTCTTATCTGATTGCTCTAGCTAGGACTTCCAGTACTATGTTGAATAACAGTGATGAAAGTGGGCATATTTGATCCTTGAGCAGTCTTATTGAAAAAGAAAGAAAAAATAAAAAAAGAAAGTGGACTTCGTTGTCTTGTTCCATATTTTAGAGGAAAGGCTTTCAGTTTTCCCCATTCAGTGTGATACTAGCCATAAGTCTGTTGTATATGGCTTTTATTATATTGAGGTATGTTCCTTCTATATCTTGTTTATTGAGGGTTTTTATCATGAAGAGGTGTTAAATTTTATCAAGTGCTTTTTAATCATCAATTGAAATAATCATATGTCTTCTGTCCTTCATTCTGTTGAGATGATATATCACATTGATTGATTTGCATATGTTAAACCATCCTTGCATCCAGGGATAAATCTCACTTGGTCATGATGAATGATCTTTTTAATGTATTGTTGAATTTGGTCTGCTAGTATTTGTTGAGAATTTTTGCATCAATATTCATCAGTGAAATATTGGCCTGTAGTTTTATTTTTTGGTGCGTCTTTGTCTGCTTTTGGTATCAGGATAGATCTAGCCTCATAGAATGAGTTTGCAAGTATTCCCCCCTCCTATACTTTTTGTAATAGTTTGAGTAGGATTGGTATTAATTCTTCTCCAAATGTTTGGTACAATTCAGCAGTGAAGCCATTGGGTCCTGGCTTTTTCTTTGCTGGGAAAATTTTTATTTTTTTATTAACAGTTTCTATCTCATACCTTGTTATTAGTCTGTTCAGGTTTTGGATTTCTTCCTGGTTCAATCTGGGTAGGTTGTACATATGTAGGAATTTATCAATTTCTTCTAGATTTTCCAATTTATTGGCATATAGTTGCTCATAATAGCCACTAATGAGCCTTTGAATTTCTGTGGCATTTGTTCTAATGTCTCATTTTTCATTTCTAATCTTATTTGGCTCCTCTCTCTTTTTTTTCTTATTCTGTCTAAAGATTTGTCAATTTTGTTTATCTTTTCAAAGACCAACTTTTTGTTTCATTGATCTTTTGTGCTACTTTATTTCAAAATCTTTAATTCTGCTCTGATTTTTATTATCTTTTCTTCTACTAATTCTGGGTTTGGTTTGCTCTTGCTTTTCTAGTTCTTTAAGATGCATTGTTAGGTAATTTGTTTGAAGTTTTTTTTTCTTTTTCGATGTAGATGCTTTTAGTTATAAACTTCCCTCTTAGTACTTCTTTTGTTGTATCCCATAGGTTTTGGCATGTTGTGTTTCCATTAACATTTGTTTCAGAAAACTTTTCAATTTCCCCCTTAACCTCTTCATTGACCCACTGGTCATTCAGGAGCATATTAATTTCCATGTATTTGTATAGTTTCTAAAATTTCTCCTTTTATTGATTTCTACTTTTATTTCATTGTAGTCAGAGAAGATGCTTGATATTATTTCAATTTTTTGAATGTTTTAACACTTGCTTTGTGACCTAACATATGATCTATCCTTGAGAATAATTCATGTGCTGAGGAAAAGAATGTGTATTCTGCAGCTGTTGGATGAAATGTTCTGTAAATATTTATGAGGTCCATTTGGTCTATAGTGCACATTAGGTGTGATATTTCTTTATTGATTCTCTGTCTGGAAGATCTCTCCAGTGCCAAAAGTGGGGTGTTGGCGTCTCCAGCTATTATTGGTCTGTCTCTTTAGCTCTGGTAATCTTTCCTTTATATATCTGCGTGTTCCAGTGTTGGATGCATATACATTTGTAATTGTTATCCTCTTGCTGAGTCGATCCCCTTATCATTATATAATGACCTTCTTTGTCTCTTCTTATAGTTTTTGTCTTGAAATCTATTTTGTCTGATGTAAGTGTAGCTACTTCTGCTCCTTTTTAGTTTCCATTGGTATGGAATATCTTTTTACATCATTTTTAGTCTGTATGTGTCTTCCATAAATGAAGTGTGTTTCTTCTAAGCGACAGATCACTGAATCTTCATTTTATGTCTTTTGATTGGAGAGTTTAGTACATTTACATCCAATGTTATTACTGATAAGTAATATTCATGCCATTTTATTATTTGTTTTCTGATTGTTTTGTGGTCTTCTCTTCGTCCTTTCTTCTTGTCTTCCTTTTAGTAAAGGTGATTTTCTCTGGTGGTATGATTTAATTTCTTGCTTTTTACTTTTGTGTCTATTTGTTGTATGTTTGTGATTTGAGTTACCATGAGATTTTCCAGCACTATTTTATAAGCCATTATTTTAAGCTTATCACTGTTATCACAACCTAATAGTGCTTGCATAAACAAGCAAAAAGAAAACTAATAATAACTCTATGCCTTAACTTCATCCCCCACATTTTAACTTTTTGTTGTTTCTATTTATATCTTAATGTACTATGCATCCCTTGAAAATTTCTTTTAGTTATTATTTTCAATTGGTTGATCTTTTGGTCTATTTAGTATAAGACTAGTTTACAAGGCTGGGCGCGGTGGCTCACGCCTGTAATCCCAGCACTTTGGGAAGCCGAGGTGGGTGGATCACGAGGTCAAGAGATCAAGACCATCCTGCCAAGAGATCAAGACCATCCTGGCCAACATGGTGAAACCCCGTCTCTACTAAAAATACAAAAATTAGCTGGGCGTGGTGGCGCATGCCTGTAGTCCCAGCTACTTGGGAGGCTGAGGCAGGAGAATCACTTGAACCTGGAAAAAAAAAAAAAAAAGAGTAGTTTACAAATCACAGTTACAGTGTTTTCATATTCTGTGTTTTTCTGTGTACTTACTATTACCAATGAGTTTTGGACCTTCAGATGATTTCTTATTGCTCATTAATGTCCTTTTCTTTCAAATTGAAGAACTCGTTAGCATTTCTTGTAGATCAGGTCTTGTGTTGATGAAATCATTCAGCTTTTGTCTGTCTGGGGAAGTCTTTATTTCTTCTTCACATTTGAAGGATATTTTCACGATATGTATTATTCTAGAGTAAATGTTTTCTTTTCCTTCAGCACTTTACATATGTCATGCCGCTCTCTCCTGGCCTGTAAGGTTTCCATTGAAAAGTCTGCTGTGAGACCTATTGGAGCTCCATTTTATGTTATTTGCTTCTTTTCTCTTGCTGCTGTTGGAATCTTTCCTTTATGCTTGACCCTTGGTAGTTTGATTATTAAAAGCCTTGAGGTAGTTTTCTTTGGGTTAAATCTGCTTGGTGTTCTATAACCTTCTTGTATTAGGATTTTGATATCTTTCTCTAGGTTTGGGAAGTTTACTGTTATTATCCCTTTAAACTTTTTACTCCTATCTCTTTCTCTACCTCCTCTTTAAGGCCAATAACTCTTAGATTTGCCCCTTTGGGGCTGTTTTCTAGATCTCATAGATGTGCTTCATTCTTTTTTATTATTTTTTCTTTTGTCCCTTCTGATTGTGTATTTTCATTTTTTATTTCTTTATTTTTTTATTTGACTATTTTCAAATAGCCTGTCTTCAAGCTAATTCTTTCTTCTGCTTAGTCTATTCTTCCGTTAAGAGACTCTGATGCACTCTTCAGTATATCAATTACATTTTTCACCCTGAGAATTTCTTGATTCTTTTAAATTATTTCAATCCCTTTGTTAAATGTATCTGATAGGATTCTGAATTCCTTCTCTGTGTTATCTTGAATTTGAGTTTCCTCAACACAGCTACTTGGTCTCTTTAAATCTATTTTCTATCTTTATGCTTTCTTCTTTCTTCCCTGGAAGGATACTATTATGAGCTTTCATACCCTTCGGCTAGTTACTTCTCTCTTTCCTCTTTCCTTTGGGCCCAGGGATGGTGCCAGCTACACTGCTGCCAGCCTCAGGCTCCTGCACTATCCCTTTTTGGTTCCATCACACCCTATCCACCATAAGTTGTTCCTTTGTAAATAAACCCTCCTCTAATTATTCTAATTTAAGTGTTCCAACTGTTTTATATTGAGTCCTTGACTGATATGGGAAAATTGGCAGAATATGAATCTCCTAGTACCATCACTGAGGTGTAGAATACTGAAAGTTATTATGGAAGAGTTCTGAGATCTTAGCAGTATAGAGCATTGCACAGTCTTATTCCTCCATTATGGAGAAGAAGGGGCTATTTGGCATGTATTTTCTGAATTTGGGAGCATATTTTAATATAGCAACTCATGTTTGCTACTGTTTGAATGAAGAAATTTCACTGAGCATTTTTTAATGAGACACTGGTCAAGAGTGCCAAGCCTGAAATAATCATAATGTATTGTGCCTTAGAAGAAGATGCAGGCCATTTTCAACTCATTTTACTTCTCTGCAGCCCTTAAAGGGTAAACAAGAGCATGTCAGGGATTCCTGTGGCTCCATATGAAGGGTCGTGGAGACTAGCAGAAGGGCAGAAACCATCAGACTGCAGTTTCTCCAGGCTAAACAATGGAACATCCAACCTGAAAATGACGTTGGGATAGTGTCCCGATGAAATACGGATTTCATTCTAGAAGGAGTTCTTTTGGTAGCAAAGATAGGCATGAAGCTGAACATTGCTCCAAGAAAACCAAACATTGCTTATAAGAACCATATAATGTTCACACAGGTAGCCAGTAGCAGATGGCAGAGATACATTTGACTACTTACTAAGTGGTTTCTTCATTCTCTCTTTGCTTCCTTCATAGGAGATGTATGAGAATATGAGACTCAAAGAGAGAGAAAAAAGGGAAAGTTCATTTTTAAAAAAAAAGATAAAAAGATAAGCCCTCTCCTTTACTGTAAGCCTCTAGGTTCAAAAACAGGTTTAGCTTGAGTTAGGACAGGTGGAGAGGAACATAGTTTAGGAAAGGAGGCTGGAGGCAAGGAGATGAGTCTAGAATGGACTTTGATATGGAAGCTATAAAAGAAGCAATCTTGAATATTGAAACAAGAGTATACTATTAAACAAGAATGATTGGAAAATTGTGGAGTTGGCCACGAAACTGTTAAGCAAACCGCTACTCAGGAGAAAGGAAGAGTTATTAGAAAAGGAACACAAGTTCATGTTTATACTTCAACTCTTGAGACTCACTGCAATTCCCTTCTGACAGGAATTTTTTTTTGTCTTATATATGGTAGAGTTAATTGTTCTAGAAGCCTACTTCAAGCTAACTTAAGCAACAAAGTGGGATTTATTGGAAAGCCGCTTGGGTGTCTCACAGAACCCAAGGAAGAGAATTGAGCTGGATTTCACAGGACCTGGAAAACCCTCAGAAACTCAATTGTTCTCTCTCTTTCTTCTCTCTCCAGTCAGAACCTTCAGGAAGGGGAGAGTGGCTCATGGGCTGAGTGGATAAACCACAAAATGGGTAATATACTATAGGTGAGTTTTAAGTGACAAATGAAGTCTAAGCTGTTATTGCACTGGTCGGTGACTGAAACTGAAAATGGGAATTAGAGGTTAAGTGGAGGGAATATGTTGCCAAAATGTTAGAAGGATCTTCTTCAAAGAGAAGTTGAGGCTCTAGAGGATAATGGTAGGGCACAGAGTGGAGGTGAAGCTTGTGAGGGGTGGGGGTCAATGGGGAGGATAGGAGAGCATTCCTGATTTTGAGGAGGAAGGATAGAGGGTTTTACTGGTGAATGACGTGAGTAAGTGTCATGACCGCTCGTATTCTCAGGATTCTTCAGTATTGGGAGATGTGACTGCAGTGGACAGGGCAGTGTCAGAGAGACTAGATTTTATAATAGAAGCTTTTAAATTACCTACCCATCACCAACTTATCAGGAGACTGACACTGTCCATCTCCTCCAAAAAAAAAAACTGACCTGCCCGGCACTTTGATGTCCACCAGTTGAGCTTTATGTTTATCAAGAATAGTTGTGTAAACTTCCAAAACTGTTTATGGCAGGCACAGTGGCTCACGCCTGTAATCCCAGCACTTTGGGAGGGTGATGTGGGTAGATGACTTGAGGTCAGGAGTTTGAGACCAGCCTGGCCAACGTGGTGAAACCCCATCTCTACTAAAAATACAAAAAAGAAATTAGCCAGGCGTGGTAGCGGGCGCCTGTAATCCCAGCTACTCAGGAGGCTGAGGCATGAGAATCGCTTGAACCCAGGAGGCGGAGGTGGCAGTGAGCCGAGATCATGCCACTGCACTCCAGCCTGGGTAACAGAGCAAGACTGTCTCAAAAGAAAAAAAAACTGTTTATATCAGTTATATTTGTTATTGTAATGATGAAATTTATAGACAAACTAATGAAATAGGAGTATAAACATACCAGTATTTTTTAAAAATAAGTTGAATATTTTATGACTACATAAACAATAATCTTTTAAAAGTCACTGTCAATTTGATGACTAGGAGTCAGCCATACAACTATAAAAGGTTTTGAGAAAACTGTAAAGATCTAAATAGAGGCTGCATTTAGTTTTTTTCCCCACAAGAACCTTTAGGTTCTAGACATTTATTTCAAATAAATGTCAACTCATCTGGATGTAGCTTATGCAAGAAAGACCTAGAAGAGCTCTTATTATGGACCCCCATTCAATGAAAACACAATGGCCCTTTATTTCTCTTTCAACATGAGGAGGTGGAAGGGCTGTTCAAGCCCTTCTGTTCACGATAGCCCAGGAGGTCCAGGAGAGAGGCGAGCCGTGGGTGAGCAGGAGTGTCTGGGGAGTGTCAACTTTCCATTGAAAAATACCCCTATGATCAAGCCATTTCACTTCCGTGGCAATCTTATTTATGTATTCACCAAAATTGGGTGGGAGCTAGTGTTTAGCTGTCATCGTCCGTAGGCTGCTGTGTTTGGCTCATGGCAGGGTGTGAAACTGGCATCAGGGAGTGTTTGCCAAGTGAATAAGGGTGAGGCTGCCCTTTCCAGAGCCGCCGGGAGAAACTCTGGATACAGAGACCCTAGCCTGGCGCCAGTCCCAGCGTTCCTCCTAGTCGGGGAGGAATCTGTGGGTGGGAGGTGGGGAGCCTGAAACCCAAATACAACAGCCACTCTGGGCTGGGCGTGGTTCCCTGGGAGCTGGGTCTCAGATCCTTTTAAAGCTGATTTCTCCCCGGATCTCCGGGCAAGATGGGCAAGTACACGGTCCGCGTAGCCACCGGGGATTTGCTCCTGGCGGGCTCTCCCAACCTGGTGCAGCTATGGCTGGTGGGCGAGCACGGGGAGGCAGACCTAGGGAAGCAGCTGCCACCGGTGTGGGGAAAGGTGAGCGCGGACTGCGGTGAGAGCTGGGGCCCTGGGACTCAGAGGTGTCACTGGGGGCCGGGGCCATTCGGAGGGTGCTGCTGCCCCACCCATGAGAAACCTGGGAAGCGGGGTAGGGGCTGAGGTCGGGTGCACTTGGTGCGCCTGATAGGAAAAGCGAGAGGAACAGGAGAGATGAGAGGCATTTTCCTGCCCGAGCGGAAGGACAGAGACGCCCGCTGGGGTGGGCACGGCAGGCCCGGGGGGAGGCTGGCGCCCCGCAGTACCAGCTGCTCCTCCTCACCTCCACCTCTCCCCGGCTGTGCTGTGGAGGGGAAACGGAGCCAGGATTCTCTGAAGGTTCACCGACCCCGCCGTCCTCCCTGAAGACCCCAAAACCTGAGCTGTGTACTGTCGCGCAGGAGGCAGAGTTTGAGATCGACGTCCCCCTGCACCTGGGGCGCCTCCTGATGGTGAAGCTGCGCAAACACAACGTGCTGTTGAGTCTCGACTGGTTCTGCAAGTGGATCTCAGTGCAGGGCCCGGGGACCCAAGGCGAGGCCTTTTTCCCCTGCTACCGCTGGGTGCAGGGCCACGGAATTATCTGCCTGCCTGAGGGTACTGGTGAGCTCGGTGGAGAAGGGGCACAGCCCCTGGCAGGCTGGAGGAAGAAGCGGGTGGGGGGAGGCTACTGTAAAAGAGGGAAAATGAGAGATGAGGGAGATGGGGAGAAGTGAAGGGGGAGGGTGGCTGATGGGGAGACCCGAGCGCGGAGGGGTGACCAGGGAGGGCATGTGCTCTTGTCCCTCTCCCCCAGCCCGGACCGTGAGTGATGACCCCCAGAACCTGTTTAAGAAATATCGGGAACAGGAGCTCGAGGAAAGAAGGAAGGTGTACCGTTGAGCCCCAGGAAGTCTTTGATCCCCTACCAGATCCCAAGAAACCTGCCACCTGCCTCCTTACCCCTACCTGTGTGTTCTTCCTCCAGGTGGGGCTCCTGGAAAGATGGGTTAATCCTGCCTATAGCAGGGAATAGGCAACCGGACCTTCCTAGGGACGAGCGATTCCTCGAGGATAAGGATTTAGACTTTAATGTCTCCCTAGCAAAAGGGTGAGTACCAGGTAGAGGCTGGGCACTTGCTTCCTAGGGCACAAGGTGGGATGCTTCCTTGATCTTCTTGCACTCCATTCTTTCCACAGGTTGAAGGACTTGGCCATTAAGGGGACACTGGATTTCATAAATTGTGTGAAAAGGCTGGAAGATTTCAAAAAAATATTCCCACATGGAAAGACTGTCCTGGCTGGTCAGTTTTCACAACCTCCCAAAACCAATATACAGACTTCCAACCCAGGGATTTGAAAAAGGAGGGGGATGGAGGATTAGATCAGTGGGATTAGGAGTTCGGAGCTCAGAGCTCACAGGGTGCTCCCCAATTGATGTTCCTAGAGCGGGTTTATGATTCTTGGAAGAATGATGCCTTCTTTGGGTACCAGTTTCTCAATGGTGCAAACCCCATGCTCCTGAGGTGTTCTTCAAGGCTCCCAGCCTGCCTGGTGCTGCCTCCAGGGATGGAAGACTTGAAGACCCAGCTGGAGAAAGAACTCCAGGTGCTGCTGGGCTTTCTGCCCATCCACCATCCCAGCCATTACCCCCACCTCCCTTCTCCTCCCATCTCCAGCCCCTTCTCTCATCTCCTCCATCTACACCCAAGGTTTCTCAACGTTGGCACTATTAACATTCTGCACCACATAATTCTCTGTTGGCTGGCGGGGGGGGGGGGGGGGGGCTTTCCTGTGGATCGTAGGGTGTTTAGTAGCATTCCTGGCCTCTACCCATTGATGCCAGCAGCATCCCCCCGGTTGTGACAACCAAAAATGTGTCTAGATAGTGCTGAATGTCCTGGGGTTGGGGAGAGGAGGAATTGCCCCTGATTGAGAACATTGATCTACAACATCTCCTCCTGTATCTTCTTTTCTTTCTCCACATTCCTCTCTTCCTTCTTCATTGAACATATATCAGCCTTAGGGAAAAGCGCAAGCTTCTGGAGAGAAATAGCAAGAAAAACTAAACAAAGCCTTGGAGAGCTAAAAGCTGAATCTGTTTTTGGGGGGAGATGGGTAGCTAAAGGAAATATTTTTGCTACATTGGCTAAAGCTGGCAGAAGAGGGGATACGTGAAGAATGCAGTGGCCTTATGTGGTGGAAAACCAGAAACTTCGCTGCAGGGAGCTCCAAGTCTGAAGGAAGACATCAGTCATGAAAACTTTGCATTCAGTTTTTTGGTTCTGCAGAAAGTGATTGGTGTTTAAAGTAAAAAAGACTTGGGTGGGTAGAGGAAGGATCCACCCTGGAAAATGAGAGAAGGGCAGCTCCAGAAACAACTCCAACCCTGTTTTCTATTCCTGCCCCTGGCCCTGTAGGCTGGATCTCTGTTTGAAGTGGATTTCTCCTTGCTGGATGGAGTCAAGCCTAATGTCATCATTTTTAAGCAGCAATGCGTGGCAGCCCCTTTGGTCATGCTGAAGCTTCAGCCTGATGGAGGACTCTTACCCATGGTCATCCAGGTGAGAGGGCCCAGGTATTTTTCTACCAGACACTGATCTCCTTTAGGGACTTAGATACACAAGTTCTCAGCCCCCACTCTCTCTCCTGCTCTAGCTCCAGCCACCTTGACACGGATGTCCCCCACCTCTGCTCTTTCTGCCCTCGCATCCCCCCATGGCCTGGCTCCTGGCCAAGACCTGGGTCCGGAGCTCTGATTTCCAGCTGCAGCAGTTACAGTCACATCTGCTGAGGGGACACTTGATTGCTGAGGTTATTGCTGTGGCTACAATGAGAAGCTTGCCTAGCCTCCATCCTATCTACAAGGTACTTCAGCATCTCTGTCATTCTGTATCTGACTGTCCTTCATATTTCAGACTCCTACAAAGAGTCTAACCTTGTACATTTCAGTCTAGCAGCAATCAATTTATATGTGGAGACACATACACAGATACATACACACACGCGTACACATACACAGTAATATGGAAACACCCAGGACACACACTTACTATGAGTTGGGGGGAGAAGTGAGAATAGGTTTTGCAAAGGAGTTGAAATTTTGGCTGAGGAGGTTTCCAGGTGGGCAAGTGAGGGGTGGAACATTACAGCCACAAAGATCTAAAGAGGCGAGGAAAGAAGGGAACATGGATAATGGCTGAGATTGGGTGAGATTAAAGTGTAGGGCATGAGTTGGGATGAGGAGGAAGAAGAAGTGGGAGGAGATGAGAGAAGAAGCCATGTTACTTAGCGGGGAGAAGAATCAAGAGTTATTTTCTGACCATGTGGGGCTTCCAATGCCTATAAAGACCCATTTGCACATGTCAGGAGGGCAACTGGATATGTGAGTCTGGAGTTCCTAGAAGAGGTGTAGGTTGAAAATACAGATTTTAGAGTCATTAGAAAACAAAAGTATCAAAGTCATTGTACTGGATGAAGTTCTCTAGGGTTTGTAGAGAATTTGACCGAGATATAACTCTAGGGTGAACCAACATTTACAGACTGAGAGAAGGGAGCAGAGTGAGAAAAGAAACAAGAGAAGGAACCTCATTGAGGTAGGAGGAAAATCAAAAAGTGCAATCCATGGCAGCCAGGAAAAGAAAGCGTTTCAAGAGGGACGCGTGATTATCTGTCTCAAGTGCTGCTGAGAGATCAAGAAAGTTACAGAGAAGTGACATTTGGATTTCTCAATATGGAAGTCATTGGTTAATAAATGGACATGCGCCATCTCAGGGAAGTGGAGGAAGCCTGATTCATGGGGGTGAGCAGCAAATGTGAGGTGGGTAAGCAAAGACAACACTGAGTGAAGATTTGCTGTGAAAGGGAAAGCAAGAAACAGGGAGATGGCAAGACAAGGATGTGGGGGTCAAGCACAGGTTTTCTTTAGGGTATCCAATATTGCACATGTTTGTATGACAGAGAGAGGAGAAGGAATATAATTATAGGAGGGTGAAGGCAAAAAGGGATGGGCTCATATGTGGGTACCTGCGAGGATATGGGATTTTTAGAATTCTTCCAAGGACATGAAACTGTGGAAATAAGTGAACTCCTAAAACTTTCACCACGGGATGCTCTGAGAAGACATTTTCCCATCTCTATATTCCCAAATGTTACCCTGACCCACTCCAATTTAACGAGAAGTCTCTCCATTTCATAAAGACCCATCCTCTCCCTTCTTTTCTGTCACTTCCTTTAACATCCTCTTCCCTCATGGATGCTGGGAACTCTCTTATTTGACCATGTCCCATTTCTTTCTTCCATAATCAGCTCCTGATCCCCCACTTCCGCTACACCATGGCGATCAACACGCTGGCCCAGAGTAGTCTTGTCTCCGAATGGGGAATTTTTGACCTGGTATGGAAATGGATGGGTGAAGGGGAGGATGGTTCAATATTGGAAGAATCCTAGGGGTTGTTTCCCTTTCCCATTCCTCCCCCAAGCTCTCCTTCCTCCATGGAAGGCCTCTCCCAAACCTGCCTCATGCCTGAAGAGCTTCCTGCTTAAAAGGGCTAGAGTAGGATCATAGGCCTGGAGTTTCCTGATACTCATCTCCCTCCCTCTGCAACTTGGCATGGCTGTGGGTTATCCTCAGGTGGTGAGCACTGGTAGTGGAAGCCACGTGGACATTCTTCAGAGAGCCATGGCTTGTTTGACCTATCATTCCCTCTGTCCTCCTGATGACCTGGCTGACCGTGGGCTCCTGGATGTGAAATCTTCTTTTTATGGCTAAGATGCCATCAGGCTGTGGGGAATCATCAGCCGGTAGGTGAAGGTGGCACAGAGAGGCAATGAACGGAGGGGCGGGGGACTGTAGGTCCAGAAGGTCCTGCATTGGCCCCTGAGACTGAGTGTCTTCTTCCCAGGGAATAGGTACGTGGAGGGGATGGTTGGGCTTTTCTACAATAGTGACCAAGCCATGAAGGATGATCTAGAGCTGCAGGCCTGGTGCAGAGAGATGACTGAGACTGGACTGCAGAGGGCCCAAGACCAGGGGTGAGACATGGATCCTTCCCCACTGAACCCTGTCAACACCCACTCCTCTGCAAACAATCTGCTTCTTCTCACATCATCATGAGACACCCCACCTGCCCAAGGAAGCTGAGAATTCTCCAGAGTGTGTCCAGAAATGCTAACAAGCACTCCTGATCTCCCCAGCCCTGTTCCTACACAGTGTTCTCTCTCCTCTGCACTAAGAGCTTCCTCTGGAACTAGATACAAAACTTCTCTTAGGTATTTTCCCTCACTCTTCCCTCCCCTCTCCCCATAGCTCAAGGTTCATCCCAAGTGCATTAACCTTTGAGCACACACAAGGTGGGAGTCCTAGGGTGTGCAGGCCAGAACCACAGAAAAGTTCTTTTCTGTATCTCCACATAGCTTTCCCTGCGTGAGACCTATTTCGTGTTCTGGTTTCGAGATCTCTGATTCTCATTTCACCAGGATTCTCATTTCACCAGGTTCCTCATCTCCTTAGAGTCCCGGGCTCAGCTCTGCCACTTTGTCACCATGTGCATCTTCACATGCACAGGTCAGCATGCTTCTAACCACCTGGGCCAGGTAACCTATGTGATCATCCCACAACGGCTCCTGGGATGGAGAAGTGGGGGATCAAATGCCCAGGTCATCAGCCTGCATTTCTCTGGGCTCTCCTCCCTGCAGCTGGACTGGTACTCCTGGATCCCTAATGGCCCATGCACCATGCAGAAGCCCCCGCCCATCTCTAAGGATGTGACAGAGAAGGATATAGTGGACTTACTGCCCAATCTCCACCAGGCACGTATGCAAAAGACCTTCACAAAGTTCCTTGGCAGACGCCAGCCTGTCATGGTGAGAAGCAAATGCCTGGGTCCTGGGAAGGAGGCAGCTCAAAGGAGGGGAAGTATTCTGGGCTGAGAGTCCCAAGGGGCTGAGCCAACTTGTCTTCTGCCTCTCAGCATGAGGAGAAATATTTCTCTGGTCCTGAGCCCCAAGCTGTGCTGAGACAATTCCAGGAGGAACTGGCTTCCATGGACAAGGAGATTGAGGTCCGGAATGCAGTCCTGGACCTGCCCTGTGAGTACCTTTGACCCAGCATGGTAGAGAACAGCGTGACCATCTGAGAGGCCTTGCCCGCCTCAGCTCCAAAGCTCCACCATCCCTGAGTGCCTTTGAGTATTCCGTCCTCCTCACATCCTCTGGTGAACAAATTGTCCCCAAAGCTTTGTGGTCAGGGTATCCAGAGCTGCTCACCACACAACTATGGGGAATACACAGTGATGGTCCCCATTGCATTTGGAAGTGGCATCCCCCAAAGCTGCCCTACCTTAAATGTCCATCCAGTCCTGCACTTCCTCACCCCGATCCCTGCACACCTCCTCATTGCCAAAGGACCTGGCTTAGATACAAGTAAAAATATATGATTAAATAACAAAACGGATTATATGTGTGGTGGTGGAAGGTGGGAGGAGAGACCTTGCTTTGTTTCCTGCCCCTTTATTCAGATTCCAAAGAAGGAAAGAAAAGTTTTCCTGGAATGAAAATTTTTTCTAGCAATCAATGCTTTTTCCAAGGGTATCTTGGAACCTCTCTAAGTTAAATGACAAGTGTTCTGGATGACTGAGTCCACTGGGGCTAAGAAACCTGGCTCTTGACAAGGGTTTTTGGCTTGAGGCCTCTCTGAATCCTCAATAAGCCATCCCTTAGGCTACCTGCAGCAACGCCTCTGGTGCAACTCCCAGCACAGCCCTCCTGCATGATCCCTCCCCAGCTGCATCCCAGCCTTCCTCTCAGTCCTGTCCCAGGACTCTTGATAAACCCTCTTCTCATCATGCTCTATCCTTGCATCCTTAAAACATACCATCTAGCCCACAGTCCTAGATACTGGAGATAAATGGATAAAGAAGGAACTAGTAGGCCAGACTCTATGTTAGAAATTTTAAATATATAATCTCAATTTATCACACCGGGCACAGTGGCTCATGCCCGTAATCCCAGCACTTTGGGAGGCCCAGGGGGGCAGATCATCTGAGGTTGGGAGTTCGAGACCAGCCTGACCGACTTGGTGAAACCCCTTCTCTACTAAAAATACAAAACTAGCCAGGTGTGGTGGCAGGTGCCTGTAATCCCAGCTACTTGGGAGGCTGAGGCAGGAGAATCACTTGAACCCAGGAGGCAGAGGTTGCAGTGAGCCGAGATTGCACCATTGCACTCCAGCCTATACAGCAAAGAGTGAAACTCGGTCTCAAAAAAAAAAAATTTATCCTCACAACTTCTCTGTGAGGTTGGTATCACTATCACCATCTTATAACAGGAAAATGAAGGTTGGAGAGATAAGGGCAGAAATGACCTGGGACCAAAATGCAGCAGAGTCAGATTCCATTTGCTAGAAGGAAGCAAAGCCCAGGATTGTGGTCATAGCAATAACAGTTAAAAGACTGATCATAAAATCTAGAGGCCAATGAAAGCCTCGGATGGATCTGATGTAATGGGAAAAAAAGGAGAGATAAAGATTCTTTGAGTCTTTTAAAGAATCTTATGCATTCAAATTACTTATGTCCCATATATTTTTAAAAGGAACATATACAATACGGTTAATACGGTAGAAATAGACATGTGTGAGCCATCCAGATTCACCTACTGATGCCCTCAACCTTCTAATGTCCCGTCCTGTTCTGTGTATTGCTTCCGTCCATCATATGACTTTTTTCAGTAGATGACGAAAGAATTTTAAGATAGCCACAGACCATAGACTCACAGAATCTGACTTGGTTGCTAGAAGTTTTTGTGGTTGCATGGAATGGTAGCAAGGAGAGTCAGAAGAGAGGGAGGGGATGAGGAAGAGGCAGAGGTCACGCTGAGGTTTTCAGTTGCGGCACAACTGGCGAGAAATACAAAGATTCAGAAGGAAGGTTGTTTAAGTTTGATGTAATACTGTGGTTCTTATGGGAAGAAATTAAACAGGTAATTGGAGAGGCTGAACTGAAAAAAGAAAGGAGGTGAGTTCTGGCTGGGCGCGGTGGCTCACGCCTGTAATCCCAGCACTTTGGAAGGCCAAGGTGGGCGGATCACGAGGTCAGGAGATGGAGACCATCCTGGCTAACATGGTGAAACCCCGTCTCTACTTAAAAAAAATACAAAAAATTAGCCGGGCGTGGTGGCGGGAGGCTGAGGCATGAGAATGGCGTGAACCGGGAGGCGGAGCTTGCAGTGAGCCGAGATCGAGCCACTGCACTCCAGCCTGGGCGACAGAGAGAAACTCCGTCTCAAGAGAAAAAAAAAAAAATGGAGGTGAGTTCTACAGTTTGGATGACTTAGGAGCTGAATTTATGAACAAGGGAAAAAGAAGAGGCAGAGGGCCAAGGTGTCCTTGGCCCTAACAAGAATTAGGGATATAAAAAAGAACATGAGGCCAGGAACGGTGGCTCATGCCTGTAATCCCAGCACTTTGGGAGGCCGACTTAGGTGGATCACCTGAGGTCAGGAGTTCAAGACCAGCCTGACCAACAAGGTGAAACCCCATCTCTACTAAAAGTACAAAAATTAGCTGGGCGTGGTGGCACGTGCCTGTAGTCCCAGCTACTCGGGAGGCTGAGACAGGAGAATTGCTTGAACCCAGGAGTTGGAGGTTGCAGTGAGCCGAGATCGCACCACTGCACTCCAGCCTGGGCGATGGAGCGAAACTTGTCTCAAAAAAAGAAAAAAGAAAATGAAGCCAGGAAGTGAGAATGATCCTAGTTTGAAAGGTAAGAAGAAAAGCTGGATGATGCAGGTCACGGAAGCCCTGTCATCACTTCCTATGACTGGGTTGTCTCCCTGAGCTCTCTCATTTTCTTTTTTCTTTTTTCTTTTTTTCTGAAATGGAGTTTCACTCTTGTTGCCCAGGCTGGAGTGCAGCGGCACGATCTTGGCTTACCGCAACCTCCGCCTCCCAGGTTCAAGCAATTCTCCTGCCTTAGCCTCCCAAATAGCTGAGATTACAGGCATGTGCCACCAAGCCTGGCTAATTTTTGTATTTTTAGTAGGGATGAGGTTTCATCATATTGGTCAGGCTGGTCTCAAACTCCTGACCTCAGGTGACCCACCCGCCTCGGCCTCCCACAGTGCTGGGATTACATACAGGTGTGAGCCACCACACCCAGCGGCTCTCCCATTTTCTAGATGTGTCACCTCACTCCCATTTTCCTCCCCAATCTACTCCCCATCCTCGTGTGTTTCCTCAGCAAGTGTCCCCATCTCTGCACAGCACAGTCATATCCTCAGTCCAGCTTTCAAATTCTCCCACCTCATCTCTCAGGAGGGTCTGATATAACGACTCTTTTACTCAGATAATCTGTTCAGGCACCTGTGCCTATGAGAGGCTTACTGTGATCTCTGAATCTATGTTTGTGGTAATCCTACGTGGACTGCTCACCTCTAGATGTCTTATGAAATCACCTCCCCTTATTTCTACAACAGGCTCAAATTGCCTTCGGGAATCATTAAAGCTCAGTGTTCTGGCTTTGATTGGTCCTTCGCTCCCTAGTCCGCCTGCACTCATGTAGGGTCATGCTATTACAAAACTCCACAGGGTACCATTTATGTTGTATTCCATGTGGAAGGTGTCCTCTGGAGTTTGGCAATATAGCAGCTGTCTGTAAAAATGATATTGAAAGCATCCTGAGTTCTGGAGCTGCGCCGATTCTATTAGGCTGAGAACCCCAGTTTCAAGTTCATCTCTTCATTTTTCTCTCATTCCATTTCACAGCGGCTTAACAGCAGGTCCTTTGTATTCGTTTCTGGCCCATAGAGGGATCTTTATTCAAAATCACAGGGTTGTCTCTAAATTTCTGCTAAGCTAATGAATGGTGTTAGTATGTTCTCTTCTCCAGGGCAGAGGCAGAGTTTTTTTTTTTTTTAATTAGCCAAAAGCAACATTACACAATAAATCACATATCATTGTAGAAGAGAAGAGTTAACTATTATAACTAAAAGATAAAATGCCATGGCATTCAGGCAACGGTGGATTAGAAGTACTTCGAACCTATCAGTTCTGTAAAGCCTAGCTTAAGTCTGTTGGTCTAACTTTCTAACTAGACTTACCTTCCTTTAGAAAATATTTGATGTGCAGAGAGCTAGACTGAGGATCTAGCAGTCACAGATCACCTTAATTCAATCAGGAACTAAGATTATTTGATGCTGGGTTTTAACCCCTTTAAGGCCTGAATTTCCACCCCACCTTTACTGCTAGGGTGCAGCTCTTTGAGGTCCCAACCCAAAGTGGGTGAGAAAGAGACAGAGAGAGAGATACAGGGATGGTCGAGAATCCTTCAAAGACAACATCAGCCACAGATTAAAGAGAAATCTTCAATGTGGAGAAAAATCTCATTACTTTCACATGGGCATCAATAATACAGGTAGCATTTTCTCAAATGAAACATTAGCTGCCAGAGACAATGAATAATCTTGGAAGTGTTGAAAGAAAATACCTGCCAGACTAGAATAAAGACTTTCTACAAATCAGTAAGAAGAAATAGGCAGTTCAATAAAAAATGGACAAAAGGCCTGGCACAGTGGCTCATGCCTGTAATCCCAGCACTTTGGGAGGCCGAGGCAGGCAGATCATGAGGTCAGGAGATCGAGATCATCCTGGCCAACATGGTAAAACCCCGTCCCTACCAAAAAAAAAATAATAATAATTAGCTGGGCATGGTGATGTGTGCCTATAATCCCAGCTGCTCGGGAGGCTGAGGCAGGAAAATCGCTTGAACCCAGGAAGCAGAGGTTGCAGTGAGCCGAGATCGCGCCACTGCACTCCGGCCTGGTGACAGAGCGAGACTCCATCTCAAAAAAGAAAAAAATATACTCAAGACTTAAACATACATTTCTCATGGGGACATCCAAATGTCAGTAAATATACGGAAAGGATTATATTTGATGATTCTATTTGTCAGTTTAATATCACATCAACTTTTATGGTATCTGGAGGAATTGATCCCATTCTGGGTAAGTCTGATGCCCGTATGGCTCAATTCGTTGCTTGTATCTCTGGCTTTGGTTACTGCTCCAGAGAATTGCCTGATTCCATACTGCATGAAGTTTTAAGATATTTGAATACTAGAGAAATTTCCAAACCTAGCAAAAGGGTCCTGTATTATACAAATCTTACAGAAATCTCCAAGGCCTCTCATCACATCTCCAGGAGATCTACATCTGTGTCTCTTATATGTGGCCAAAGAGGCTATCCTTGACTAACTCTGGGTCACTGGGATGCCTATTTTCCCCATACCACCTTATTATTTGGATACTTTACCAGAACGGGTAGGAAGTCTGCTGGTCAGATATAGATCATAGTTATCACAGTCAACAGCAGTCTATGTGGATTCTTGGTGGCATTTGACACAGCCACTTTCACTTTGCTTAAATACTTTTATCTCTTACTTTCTATGACATCATAGTCTCCTGGTTGTCCACTTTCCTTAATGGTTCTCTGCCATGCAGGTACCCATTCCAGGGAGTCCCTGGTTCCCAAAGTCATCCTGATTTTCACTCACAAGCTACCCTTAATATTTAAACAAATAGGCTGGAAACTCTGTCTCTAGGCTTTTGGGAAGGGCCCATAGGAGAATGACTGGGTTTCTCATTAATTGATTAGAAGGTACATTGTTAAGGTAACAGCTGCTGTAACAAATCAGCCCAAATAAATAATGGTTCAAAGACAATAGTTGTTCTTTTGTTTCACTCCTGATAAATTTAAAACAATGGTTCCTAATTGGTGCGTAGTCCTCCTTCACTAAGTTAGGGACTCAGGCTCCCTTCATCTTGTGGCTCTGCATATTTAACATGTGGTCACCATACTTAAGAACATTTAGGTAGCAAAATAAGAGAGAACATAAAAGATGACATGTGTGATATTTTTATGGGACACACACATAGCAATCAGAATCCCTGGCAGGAAACAGTTGGCATAATCAAAGTCAGTGTTTGTTTGTAAATCTCTTTTATTTTCTCTACCATAAAAATTGCTATTGTTATTTTATATTGATATGGATTATTGTTATATTTTTATTGTGAATTATTCCCTCTAGCCTTCAAAAGGCTGGGCGTGGTGGCTCATGCCTGTGATCCCAGCACTATGGGAGGCCGAGGCGGGCAGATCACGAGGTTAAGAGATCGAGACCATCCTGGCCAACACGGTGAAACCCCGTCTCTACTAAAAATACAAAAATTAGCTTGGCATGGTGGCACGTGCCTGTAGTCCCAGTTACTCGGGAGGCTGAGGCAGGAGAATTGCTTCAAACCCGAGAGGCGGAGGTTGCAGTGAGCTGAGATCACGCCACTATACTCCAGCCTGGGCGACAGAGCGAGATTCCATCTCAAAAAAAAAAAAAAAAAAAAACACGTAGCCTTGCTTTCTGCTCTGAATTCTATAATGTCTAATTTTTTTTTTTTTTTGAGATGGAGTCTTGCTCTGTCACCAGGCTGGAGTGCAATGGCATGATCTCGGCTCACTGCAACCTCCGCCTCCCGGGTTCAAGCAAGCAATTCTCCTGCCTCAGCCTCCCAAGTAGCTGGGACTACAGGCGCACACGACCACACCCAGCTAATTTTTGTATTTTTAGTAGAGACGGGTTTTCACCATGTTGACCAGGATGGTCTCGATCTCTTGACCTCGTGATCTGCCTGCTTTGGCCTCCCAAAGTGCTGGGATTACAGGTGTCAGCCACGGTGCCTGGCCTATAATATCTAATTTTAAGATTATGAGTGATACTTTTTTTGTCTGTTATACATTTGCCCATCCTTTTATTTTCAACTTCCAGAATTAGTTTATTTTAAATGTACCTTTTGTGTATAGTAGACAGTTGGGTTTTTCTTTGTAATCTAATATGAAAATATTTTTCTTGTAATACATGCTATGTTCATTTACATCATTTACATCTATTGATATGCTCTATTTTTAAGTTTTTCATGTGATTTTTTATATATATAAATTATAATGTTTTACTCTGTGGCTTCTTATTGCAGTTAGACTATTCAAGAAGGTTTATAATTTTGATCTAGCAATAATCTTTATAGTTTCTATTTGATATAAAGACCTTAATCTCCTCATTTAAAATATTTCTTAGTATGAGCAATGATGAAATTGGCTTGTAGATATTTCCTCCCTCTCATCACCAAATTTTTATTGATATCTTTTAAAAATTTATTCTTAAATGTGTGTGTACTTCTACTACCTGAATTGTCATTATTAAACAGGCAATAGTTGTGTACTAGAGTTCTCTAGAGAGACAGACCCAATAGGATAGAGAGACACACATATAGATTACACACACAGATATATATATAAATATAGATTTATAGATACATATACACACACATACACATATATGAGGGGGGTTATTATGGGAATTGGCTCATGTGATTATGGAAGCTGAGAAGTCCCACAACAGGCCATTGGTGAACTGGAGACTCCGGGATGCTGGTAGTATGGCTTAATCCAAGTCTAAAGGCCTCAGGTCTAGGGAAGCTGATTGTGTAATTCTTGGTGTGAGGCCAAGGTCCTAAGAACCTGTGAAGCTGCTGATGTAAGTCCTGGAATCCAGGCTGGCAAACCTGGAGTTCTGTTGTCTAAGGGAGGAGATGAGTGTATCCCAGCTCTAGAAGACATGTTTGCCCTTTTCTTGATTTATCATAAGTATTTTAAACTCATATGGAAGTGTTTGGATACATGTTTTATTTGCTCCTTAGCAACATATTTCTGGTGAGTTGGTTTTTTTTGTTTGTTTGTTTTTGAGACAGAGTCTCACCTTGTCGCCAGGCTGGAGTGCAGTGGCGTGATCTCGACTCACTACAACCTCCACCTCCTGGGTTCAAGCGATTCTCCTGCCCCAGCCCCCAGAGTAGCTGGGATTACAGGCACCCGCCACCACACCTGGCTAATTTTTTGTATTTTAGTAGAGAGGGGGTTTCACTATGTTGCCCAGGCTGGTCTCGAACTCCTGAGCTCAGGCAGTCCACCCGCCTGGGCCTCCCAAAGTGCTAGGATTACAGGCGTGAGCCACCGCCCCTGGCCTCAAGATTGTTCATCACATGTGCAAAGTCTCTTTACCATGTAAGAAAACATTCACAAATGCTGGGGATTAGGACATGGACATTTTCTACCTACCATGATATCCATCAACTCTGAAAGTGTCCCTGTGCCCTTTTATGACCCCTTCCTATGGTTCCTTCCTCCCTGCATTCTGCACCTATGACCCCAGGCAACCACTGATCTACTTTTTGTCACTATAAATTAGTTTGCATTTCCTCAAATTTTATATAAGTTGAATTATAAAATATGCAGGGTTTTTTATTTGGCTTTTTTCACTCGGCAAAATTATTTTGAGATTTATCTTTGTTGTGACCTGTGTCCACAGTTCACTATTCTTTTCTGTTGAGTAGTGTTCCACTATATGTATATACTGCAACTTAAGAAAAATCTGCCACTTGCTGATGGACATTTGAGTTGTTTCCGGTTTTTGACTCTTGTGATAGTCAAAATATTGACATATATATAAATTATAATACAGCTGCTATGGACATTTGTGAACAAGTCTTTGTATGGGCATATGATTTTATTTCTGTTGGGTAAATATCTATAAGGGAAATAATTTGCTTGGGGATGACTGGTTCACATGGTATATGTGTGCCTAACTTTTGTAGAAACTGCCAAACTGTTTCCCAAAGTGTCTATATCTGTTTACGTTCCTACTAGAGTTCCAGTTACTCATAGGGTGGTGGCCACTGGATTAGTTTTCATCTGCACTTACCAGCAGCAACAGCAGTGGCACCATGGTAAGGTGAATGCTCCTTGGCTGCGGCAGGATGCTAGTGGGTGCTGGGGTACCAGCCTCCATGCAGGCATTCATAGCAGCAAAAGAGGTAGCATGGCTTGGGCGGCACAAGGGTCTTCTGCCAGTGACCATGCATGTGTTTGTGGCGGTGGTGTTAGCATGGAGACAGGGTGGTGTTGGGAGCAGGACTGTGTGTGCAGTTGTGTGTGTGCTCACATCGGTGGTGGTGGCTGCTCAGGGAAGGGGTGGGATTCGCTGTTCTCCATGCCTAGCTTTGTGCCAGTTGCAGTTTTGGCACAGGGCCAGGGCACTGTTGGTAGCAGAGCTGGTGTGTTCCATGCCCACCAACACTGACAGGTATGGTGAGGGGCAGGAGAACGGAGTGTATTCATGCCAGCAGCAGTGGCATGGCAGGGTGTGCACACATGTGCACTGGTGGGGAAGGAAAGGCAAAGTTTGCCTGTAAACACATGCAGTGGCAAAGCAATGTGGGTGGCCACAGGTGAGTGTGTACAGAGAAAGCTGCATGGGGGAGGCTATAGTTAAGGGAGGGCAAGGGTAGCCTGGTGCATATCTGTGAAGGCTGCTCTGCTGGATCCATATATTGGTCAGGCATGGTCCACCAGCACAGGAGCTATGATGTGGGCCCCCAAGGAGGTATCTGGGAGCTGCACTGCAGGCAGGTGCAGCCAGGCTGGGGCTCTGTGAGACGCCAGCAGACCAAGGGATGCTGAGGTCAAACTGGTCCTGTCTCATGGGCAACACCACCCTTCAGAGTTCAGGTCTGACTGTGCCCCTAGGGCTAAAGTGTCCTATGGGAGCAAGTCAAGCCTAGGGACATGGGTTTCCCTGGCTGTACTCCAGTACAGACATTGTTGCACCGAACTCTCTGGGCTCTGCACCAGCAGGATTTCTGCCCCTACCCCTTCTCTAGACATCTCTTCCTGCCAACTCAAGTATATCTGGTGGTTGAGAGCTCTCCTCTTGTTGGGATTCTGGAGGCCCATGGTGAGGGTGGGCTGCTCCTTGCCTGTTAGACTCACCCCTTCCACAGGAATCAGTGGGGGCCAGAATGAGTCCTGGTGTGCAGTATCCCTGTTCAGGGTTCCCAGCTTCCTCCCCTTCAGCCCAGCCTCTGTGCCTTCCCTCTGTCCACTCTCAATGCCTTCCCTCTGAAGATCTGCTAGGAGTGCACCAGTCTTCCTGATGTCTTGGTCCCTCACTGGGAGATGTTTCTACTGGCTGCATCTAGTAGGCCATCTTGGAGCAGCAATTTGCATGTTAAGGCTCAGACTGTTTGTTTGAATGCACACAGAAAAGAAAAAAAGAATGAAAAGAAATTAAAAACACCTACTAGATCTAGGGAAAAGCCTCCAAAGAGCAAATGTAGGAGTCATTGGAATTTGAGAGGGAGTTGAGAAATAGCAAGGTGTAGAAAGTTATTCCAAGAAATAATAGCAGAAAACTTTCTAAACCTAGAGAAAGAAATAAATATACAGGTACAGGAAGTTCAAATATCACCAAATAGATTCAGATCCAAATAAGACCACCCCAAAGCATATAATAATCGCACTCTCAAGGGTCAAGAACAAAGAAATGGCCAGGCGCGGTGGCTCACACCTGTAATCCCAGCACTTTGGGAGGCCAAGGTGGGTGGATCATGAGGTCAGGAGTTCAGGACCAACCTGACCAACATGGTGAAACCCCATCTTTAACTAAAAATACAAAAAAAAAGTTAGCTGGGCATGATGGCACATACCTGTAATCTCAGCTACTCAGGAGGCTGAGGCAGAAGAACTGCTTCAACCCAGGAGGTGGAGGTTGCAGTGAGCCGAGATCGAGACTCCATCTCAAAAAAAAAAAAAAAAAAAAAAGAACAAAGAAAGGATCCTAAAAGCAACAAGAGAAAAGAAGACAATAACATGATAACATGTAAAGGAGCTCTGATTTGTCTGGCAACAGACTTTTCATCAGAAGCCATACAGGCCAAGGCAGAATGGGAAACATATTCAAAATGCAAAGAAAAAAACTTTTTTTTTTTTTTTTTTTTTTGAGACAGAGTCTCACTTTGTCACCCAGACTGGAGTGCAGTGGCACAATCATGGCTCACTGCAGCCTCTATTTTCCTGAAGCCCAAGTGCTCCTCCCACTTCAGCCTCCCGAGTAGTTGGGACTACGGGTATGAGCTACCAAGCCTGGTTAATTTTCAATTTTTATAGAGACAAGGTCTCCCAATGTTGCCCAAGCTGGTCTTGAACTCCTGAACTTAAGTTTTCCTCCTGCCTTGGCTTTCCAAAGTGCTGGGATTACAAGTATGAGCCACCACAACTGGCAGGAAAAAAACTTTCAGTCATGAATACTATATCCAAGAAACTATCCATGAAACATGAAAGAGATAAAGACTTTCCCAGACAAATGAAACTGACAAGGTTGATCATCAGCGGATCTATCCTATAAGAAACGCTAGAGGGAGCTCTTCATTCTGAAAGAAAAGGATCCTAACATGTAACAAGAAAACATCTAAATGTATAAAACTCACTGGTAAAAGCAAGTACATAGACAAATAGACAAATACTCTAATACTGCAATAGTGATGTGTAAGCTACTCCTGTCTCTAGTTTGAAAATTAAGAGATAGGCATTATAAAAAATGTGAGTTGAGACAATGAAAAGTCAAAATGTAGGGAGATGGAGTTAAAGTGTAAAGTTTTCTTCAGTTTTTCTCCTTTTCTTTGTGACTAAAGTTAATTTTCATCTTAAATGACAACTGGTTAAGTTTAAAATAATGTGTTATAAGATGTTTTCTGTAAGCCTTACAATAGCCACAAAGCAAACACCTATAATAGCTACACTAAAAATAAAAAGCAAGGAAATTAAAACATACTACCAGAGAAAATCACTTAAGCACAAAGGTAGACAGTAAAAAAGAAAGTAAGGGAGAGAGGAGTTGCAAAATGACCAGAAAACAACTATGTAATATCAATAGTAAGTTCTTACCTATCAATAATAACATTAAATTGACTAAATTTCCAAATTAAAGACAGAGTGGCTGAATGGATTAAAAAAAAAACAAGATCCAACTATATTTTGCCTACAAGAAACTCACTTCATAAAGATGCACATAGGCTGAAACTAAAGGAATAGAAAAAGATATTCTATGCAAGTGGAAACCAAAAAGGAGTAAGAGAAGTTACACTTAGATAAAATAAACTTCAAGTCAAAAACTGTAAAAAGACACAAAGAAGGTGGATTAGGCCATTTTTGCATTGCTATAGAGAAATACTTGAGGCTGGATAATTTATGAAGAAAAGAGAGTTAACTGGTACACAGTTCTGCAGGCTTCACATCAAACCCCACAGACTGGTACATCCCAAGCAGAAAAAATGAACATAAATCTATAACTAGACACATCAGAGTGAAACTTCAGAACACCGCAGATCAAAAGATAATCTGGAATACAGGCAAAAAGGAAGGAAAGATCACCTACAAAGGAACCAGAATTAGCACAACAACAAAACTCCCAACAACAACGGAAGCCAGAAAATAACAGAATCAGGTCTTCGGTGTATTGAAAAAAATTATTGGTCAACCAAGAAATGTGAACTCAGCAGAACTCTAAAAAAAATGGTTTCAATCATTTTTTAATGAGAAAATTTACTTCTAAAGAAAGACCTGCCTCACAAAAACTTTTGGTAATGTGCTCAGAAAGAAAAGGAAAAATAATACTATAAAAGTTATCTGAGATGCCAAGAACGTGGTAATATGTAAAGAAACCAAAAGCAACAGTGTCAGGTTGAAACAAGCATGCTTTATAATTTGTAGTATTTTTTTAAAGGCAGATATGCTGGTTCCTCTCTGCCACTGAATGTAACAATGAAGACCTGGGCAGAATGCGTGAAGCAGCAGTATCACGGGGGTTGGAGTGAAAGCAGAAGGAAAACTAGTAATCAGCTTACTAGATTTTCCCTGCAGAACTCCTAGACTGACTTCAAGGCAGCCTAAAACCTAGAGGTGCAAGTCAGCATGGACAGATCAAGCTTTAGGGAAAGCCCTCAGTTCTGGGATAAGGGAGTGATAAAGGGGTCTCCTGGAAATGACAACAGCAGCGGGGGCCGATAAGCACGTGCAGTCTGAAGAAGGGGAATCTTCCTCTCCAATCAGAAGAAGTGTGGTCCCAAGAGCGCGGGGAACACCTCCGTGGATTTTTTTTCCTCTCTCTTTCCTCTTATCACTTGACCCCGAATGAGGGCACAGATGCAAGAAGTGTACAGCAAGGTAGGCTAAATTAGGCCCTAAATTTCTGGCTGAAGGACCAAAAAGGAAAATGCCAGGAAACTGAAAAGCACAGAGGAGATCACAGGGAGAGAGGAGCTCAGGAAGGAAACCCCAAAATATTGTTTATAAGCTCAGGGGCTCATTCCTAAACTGCACAAACAGAGATTAGATCACGGACCAAACTACTAAAGACTGAGAGCTGAATTCAGAGATAGGGTCCCATCCAGGTTCCTAACTGGGTGGCACATGCATGGGCTAGATCCAAATAGCATTGCAAAGGCCTGGAAAACAGAACTAGAATTGAAACCACCGCGGAAGACTCATTCGAACTCGTGGGCTGAACTCAACCAGGTCAATGCTTCAGAAAAATACCAGCATTCTCCACAGGACATAAACAAGATTGTCTCATAACATACCATTCAAAATATTAGGATACAATCCAAAATTGCTCATCATAAGAAGACAGGAAAATCTCAGTTCACATGGGAAGAGACATAGATGACTATGAAGAGAAGTTATAAAATACTCCAAGTCGGGGCAAACACTGTTGAAAAGGTAGAAGACCTCAGGAACTAAATAGAAAAATATAAAGGAGAACCAAATGAACATTTCAGAACTGAAAAATGCAATAAGGTTTTTTAACTGTTTCTGTCAAGATGGCGGATGAGAGGCATTGCTGGCACGCCTCTCCCACGTGGAAGGACAAAATAGTGTAGAGACATTCACTTTGTGAACTTTTTTCAAGAGGCGATGCAGTCATTGAACAGGAAAACCCAGGGACGCTTTGAAGGACGCAGGAGGCTGCAGTCTACACTGTGAGTCAGGTGAAGGACTGTGAGTCCCAGAGTGTGAGAGGGGAAGAGTTTTTGCCTCTGGGATACACACCCCCACCAGGGACCCTGAAAGTACAGGACACGGAGGAAGGCCCTAACCCCACCCAGCAAAGGGACCAACTCGGGGAGGGTGGCGGAATATAAAAATAGGAGCAGTGGCAGAAGACACTTGCGTGCACTCCCAAATCCCAACACAGGAGGGCAGCCGTTCCTTACTGTTCCTCACAGGGGACCCCCGTGGAGGACAGGCAAAAAGTTTAGACGGCGGTCGCAGGTTGAACGAAGCTCCCGAGGGGTTTCATGATATATATACATAACCTTGGGTGGGGACCAACTCCCTTGGCCAGGGCCAGGCGTGGGAGAGTGAAAAGTGGGCTGCGAGTGCAGGGGGCCGTGAGTGCGGAAGCCGCGGGTGCAGGAACCTCGGGTGCCGGCTTTGCAGGACAGGGAAGGGTGTGGCGTGAAAACCACAATTGCGATCTCCCGTGGGGAAAGCTTATAACTGTGGCAAGTTCCGATTACAGACTGGCTGGAATTCAGCTCGCCGCTGCCAGTGGAAGCTGTGGTAGTAGATCTGCCTCACTGAGTGCATGGGAATTGGGGGCTCACCGCTGCCTGCTACTCCCCACTCTGCACAAACTCTTCTGCGCAGCGGGGGCAGAAGAACATCAACCCAGTGGCCTGAGACCCACTCCATCCCCCAACATTCACAGGAGCTGCTGCTTGCCCTGCACACGGAGAATCAGAGCACAAACCTGACCGACGCAGCCCCCATCTCGCTTTGCCCCGCCACTTGCCCTGGTAGCTTAACACAAAGGACAGAATCTCTTGAGAGCTCTGTGGCCCTGACTATTGCCTGTGAAACCAGAGTATTCCTCCCTCCACGCCCCCACCACCACGCCCCT
The DNA here is from genome assembly GCF_000001405.40 of Homo sapiens. Taxonomy (NCBI): domain Eukaryota; kingdom Metazoa; phylum Chordata; class Mammalia; order Primates; family Hominidae; genus Homo; species Homo sapiens. The sequence continues at coordinate 6,914,733 of NC_000017.11, forward strand.
CCCCCCCCCCCCCCCCCACACACCCACCTACCGCAGCCGGTGTTCATTTGCAAGCACCACCTCCTGGCTGGAGGCCAACCAGCACAGTCCATTACAGCATCTCCTGGTAGAATAACATTGCACCCAGGAAGAAGGAGGCTCTATGATCTCAGCTATTACCACTGCCTGCATCACTCCGGCTAACCAGGAGGTCCTGAGTCCACATGACCAGCTCATTACTACTATAACTAGCATTCAAGAAAGCCAACATACTATGGCTACCAATAACCAAGGAATTTCAGAGTCTACGTCACTCCCCTGCTACCCCCAGTAGAGCTGGTGTTGCTACCCACTTCTGGGAAACTGGCATTCACAACTGGCATTTCCCAACACCAGCCTGGAGGGTGGCAACGTCACTGGGCAGCTAGACCCAGAGGAGCAACAACATTCACAGTAGCGTGGCTCACAGGGACTCCCACTCATAGGGAAAGGGGGAGTGCGCCCCATCAAGGGAAGACCCTGTGGGACCAAAGAATCGGGATGGCAGGCCTTGAGCATCAGATCCTTCCGCTGGTGGAAAGCTTCCTTGAGCAGAGGCGCAGCTGAAGTGCTAGGCTCAGCGGGGAAAGCCTTCAGCTCTATCGCAACAGTCAGACAGCTTTGGTGCATGGGAAGGATCTTGGAGAAGAGGCAGTCTTTCCCCCCTTGTTCACCACCATATGCACAGTTGGGACTTCTCCCACAGGAGCTCGACATGGATGCAACTATAGACGGCCATTCTGGAACACATCAAGGCGACTGCATCCCCACAAGAGGAGCACCCTCCAGGATCAGGCTTGCACAAGAAACAGTCACAATTCCTCTCTATTTGGAACACCAACACCTACAGATGAAAAGAGGTGCCTGTCTGATCTGAATAGCCAGAGCGCTGGGACAGGAGCATATCTAAGAAGTGGAAAACGTCCCTGCTGACCTTGCAGGGGAGCTAAGGTGGCTCCAACCCTTCTCCCTGATAAGACCTCACTGTGACTCACCGAGGGCTCCTCCAGCCACCTCTGTCAAGCCTGGGTCTTCATTTACCCACTTGCTTTACCCACAACCGATTCCTACTCAGGGACACCTCTTCTACTGGCCTGAAACCTGAACCATCAAACCAGTAAATAAAATACTGGGGGAAAATAAATAAATAAAAAGTGCATGAGATGGGAGAAGGAGATAAGCTTTAAGAAACCTCTACCATTCCAACCCCCTAGGAGATAATGGAATGGAAAACCAAACACTGTATGTTCTCACTTATAAGTGAGAGCTAAGCTAGGAATACGCAAAGGCATACAGAGTGATATAACGGACTTTAGAGATTCAGAAGGAGATTCAGGAGGGTGGGAAGAGGACCAAGGGAACAAAATCTATGCATTAGGTACAATGTACACCATTCAGGTGACGGGTGCACCAAAATCTCAGACTTCACCGCTATATAATTCATCCATGTCACCAAAAACCACCTGTACCCCATTAATAAATTAATAATAAAATAAATTTTTAAAAAAAGTTTTAGCTCACTGAGTGAGCTTGCAGCAGAATGGAGACAGCAAAGGAAACAGTCAGTGAATTTGAAGATAGCTCAATAGAAACTATGCAATTTGAATGACATCAAGAAAAAATTGTTTAAGTAAATAGAGTCTCAAGGACATGAAGGACAAAACCAAAAGGTCTAACATTCATGTCATCAGAGTCAAAGAAAGATAAGAGTGTGTGGTGCACAAAAAAAATAAATAACGACTTCCAATTTTTCAAATTTCATAAAAGATATAACTTACAGCTTCGAAAATCTCAACAAATCACCAACAGGATAAAACAAACAAATCCTCATCCAGATAATCACAATCAAACTAGTGAAAACTAAAGCCAAAGAAAAAAATCTTGAAAGCAAGCAGAGAAAAGCAATGTATTTCCCATAGAGAAATAATAATTTGAATGACTGCAGGGTTCTCATCAAAAACAATGGAGGCCAGAAGATTCATCTGACAAAGCACTAATATCCAGAATCTACAACAAACTCAAACGAATTAGCAAGAAAACAACAATCCCATCAAAAAGTGGGCTAAGGACATGAATAGACAACAATTCTCAAGATATACAAAATGACCAACATATGAAAAATGCTCAACATCACTAATCAGGAAAACACAAATCAAAACCACAATGTGATACCACCTTACTCCTGCAAGAATGGCCATCATCAAAAAAATCAAAACATAATAGACGTTGGCACGGATGTAGTGAACAGGGAACACTTCTACACTGCTGGTGGGAATGTAAACTAGTACAACCACTATGGAAAACAGTGTGGAGATTCACAGAGAACTAAAAGTAGAACTACCATTCGATCCAGCAATCCCACTACTGGGCATCTACCCAGAGGAAAAGAAGTCATTATACAAAAAAGGTACTTGCACACACATGTTTATAGCAGCACAATTCGCAATTGCGAAACTGTGGAACCAACCAAAATGCCCATCAATCAACAAGTGGATAAAGAAACTGTGATATGCATATACACATACATACGATGGAATACTACTCAGCCATAAAAAGCAACGAGTTAATGGCAGCAACCTGGATGCAACTGGAGACTATTATTCTAAGTGAAGTAACTCAGGAATGGAAAACCAAATATCCTATATTCTCACTCATAAGTGGGAGCTAAGCTATGAGGATGCAAAGGCATAAGAATGACACAATAGAATTTGGGGACTCAGGGGGAAAGGGCGGGAAGAGGGTGAAGGATTAAAGAACACAAATTGGGTGCAGTGTTTACTGCTCAGGTAATGGGTGCACCAAAATCTCATAAATCACCACTAAAGAACTTACTCAGGTAACCAAACACCACCTGTTCCCCAATAACCTGTGGAAAGAAAATTTTTTTAAAAAAAGAAAGTAGAATAATATTTTTAAAGTGCTGAAAGAAAAGAGCTATCAACTCAGAATTCTATATCCAGAAAAAAATATCTTTGAGAAATGAAGGTGAAATGATGACATTCTCAGATGAAAAGAAGAAAAAAAAACTAAGACAATCAATTTCCAGCATATGTAATCTAAAAGAATTGCTTAAGAAATTTCTTCAGACAGAAGGGAAGTGATGTGAGAAGGAAACCTGGAACACGGGGAATCAAGCGAGAACAACAGAAACATTAAATATCTGGGTAAATATAACAGACTATCCCTCTCCTAATGAGTTCTTTAAAATATATTTGATGGTTAGAAGCAAATATTTTAACATGACTAAAAGATTTTTAATATACACAGATGTGATTAATGGGCTGACCATCTGAGTTCATCTGCTCTCAGCCAAAAAAATAACCACGGCTTCTCCCTCTGCTCAGCATGTCTTTTCTCTACCATGAGGTTCTACTTCTTTGTAACTTCTGTTCCCCATGGCCATCTTGGCCCCTCTGGCTTCTCTCCGTCTTTGTTCCTATTGCTAACTGCCTGATCCTCTCTGTATTTTCCAGATCAACACACACACACACACACACCCATAGTGAGAAACTGACCCTGCTCTTTTGTCTGGGGAGTGGTCCCATCCAAGTACACCTCTGACTGTGGATGGGGCAGATTTCCTTATAAGGGGATGGCAGGTATTATGATCGCCATGTAGAATTCAGATGCATTAAACATTTTGTTATTCTGAGAACCATGCCACACATTTACACCCCTCTAAGCCTTGATATGGTCTATTCCTTCTTCCTGGGATTTCTTTTCCTCTTTGCCTAGAAAACTTGTACATATCCTTAAAAATCCAACACGAGGGCTCAGTCACTCCTCCTTTCTCTTCAGTCCCCATTGCCCTTACATCCAACCTCTATTCAAGTATTTAATATGCTCTTTGGACACTGGTTGTCTATACATTTGTCGCCCCAACCAGACAGCTTGCTCCCAAAAGGAGGCATCAGGAGATTCTCATTACTATATTCCTACTGCCCATTAACCGTTATATTCATTCATGTCTTGTCATCCATTCAACAAATATTAATTGAATGTCCACTGTGTGTCAGCCTCTGTATGAGGCACTGGAATGCAAACGTGAACAAGTCAGAGTCCCTGCCCCCTCGGAGATTAGCGTGGACCACACTGTGTCTGGCACATAGTGAATGTTCAGTAAGTTATTTTTAAGTTGGATCGTACTTGCTTATAGTTCTCTACCAAGGAGCCCTTTGACCTTTCTCAGACATCAGAGCTTTCACAGATGAAAAGGAGTGGAAAGTTAAGTGGGCCATGATTCCCAAAAGCACCTCAGACTTGGTTATCAAAAACCAAGCAACTCTTCTAGTCCTTATGTGTCCCACATCTCAGCAAATACACACACATCATATACCTAGTTACCCCAGCCAAGAACCAGGGAGTAACAATGACCAATCTTTCCTTCTCTTCTGCTCTCTCTCACACAGTCTACTCTTTCTCTTTCTCTTCCTGTCATCACCAATTAAACAATGGAGTCCTGACCGCTCCACTTCCTTCGCATGTCTTCCACCCTGCCCGTCTCCATTCCTGCTTCCCCTGCTTGCTGCAGGCCTTTATTATCTCTCCCCAGCACACCAAAGACGTCTCCTCATGGGTCTCCTGTTTTCTGTGCAACCACATCACTCATCTCTTCCTGACCCAAAATTCATGAATTTCCCTGAAATTTCATCAGCTCCCTGCAACTCTTGCTGTCTGTTTGCCCAGAATGCCTACCCTCTCCCCAACTGTCCTTCATTCCCATCAACCCGGTAGATATCTACACAGATTTAAAGACTCAGCTCAAGTTGCCTCCCTGAGAAGCCTTTTCTATCTCCTCGAGGTGAACCTATCCCTCCCTGCTTTGTGCCCCCATAATACCCCACACGGGATTCTTTCTCCATTGTAACACACTGTTGCATTTACTTTTTATGTCTTTGTTTCCCCCCACTAGACTAGGAACTCCTTGAGGGAAAACAAAATCTCTATGTTCTCAATGCCTGGTGCATAGTATATGCTCAATAAATACTTTTCTGAATGAATCCAGTAAACAAAATACTTCCCTGTCTTTGGCCTTTGTGAAACAAGCAGCTAGACCTTCCAGGACGGGCTTCTTTGAGCCTCTACAAGAGTCAAATTAAGTAAGTAATTCACTGGGTTGTCTGCCTTTGTAGATCTGAGGAGGCCAAACTCCACCTAATTTTCCCTACCCTGAGGCCCATCTGGTTCTCACCCAACAACTTCATGAGCACATCCAGATGGTCCCTCTAACATGAGCACTGCCAATGACATGTAGGACAGTCTCACACAATCTCATACTCGTATCCCTCTTCTGCGATCTTAATCCCCAAACCCAATTTTGCCTCTCCTTTAACCCTGTGTCCCCACCACAGTTTTATCCTTCATCCATTCCTATAACATGTCCCCTGTTTATTCCCCAAACTTTATCTTCTTGCCTTCAAACCTTCAACCTATGCATAAGCATAATCATTCTACATAAAAGCTATTGAGACTAGGCATGGTGGCACATGCCTGTAATCCTAGCACTTTGGGAGGACAAAGCAGGAGGAATGCTTGGGGCCAGAAGTTCAAGACCAGCTTGGGCAACATAGCCAGACCCCCATCTCTATGAAAAGTTAAAAAAAAAAAATGGTAGCCAGGTGTGGTGGCCTGCACCTGTAGTCCTAGCTACCTGGGAGACTGGGGCTGGAGGATCCCTTGACCCAAGGAATTCAAGGCTGTGGTGAACTATGATCATGCCACTGCATTCCAGCCTAGGTGACAGAGAGAGACCCTGTCTCTCAATATATAAATAATTTTTTCAAAAAGTTATTGAACATCTATGATGTCCAGATCCTGTGCCAGGCACTGAAGATAAATAGAGAAATAGAAGGTAAATAGAGATAGGTAGAGTCTCTGCACAGGGGAAACTCAGGGAGGCCAAAGAGATAATATATAATATGTAAATACCAACCCAGTCTATCAATAAGCATTGGCCTCAGGTTTTGGAAGGGTCAGTTCCATGGACTGTGGAGGTGGTCAAAAAATGCTTTGTGTGTGTGTGTGTGTGTGTGTGTGTGTGAAGATGGGGTCCCACTATGTTGTCCAGGCTAGTCTCAACTCCAGGGCTCAAGCAATCCTCCCACCTCAGACTCCCAGAGTGCTGGGATTACAAATATGAGCCACCACGCCCAGCTAAAAGAATGCTTCTTGAAAGAGACAGGGCTTGACTGGGATTTGAGCTGGGAAAAAAGTTCTTCAACAAGTTCAAAAAAAAGGAGATCAAAATTTCAGATTGAGTTAGTGGCTCAAGGAAAGACCCAGGAGTCAGCAAATGCAGTGTTTTAAGAGACCAATAACTAAATGATTTGGGCTGGAGTGGAACACGGGCGTGGGAAGAGCAGGAGGTGAGTCTAGGAAGACAGTTTGGTGGTAGACGGTGGGAGGTATAATTACCAGGATTAGAAATTGGGACAGTGGCAGGTAAGCAAGAAGGTGAGGAATTCTGTGTTCAGGAGGAAGAGGATTAACACGTAAATAGCATTTTATAAAGGTTCATGTGGCAGCTGTAAGGAGATGGGTTGGAGTGGGGACAGATTCATGGTAGGAAGTCTATCATGATCTAGGTGGTAAAATAGACTGAAACTATGGGATGGAGGAGAAAGATATTACAGGAGAAGAACCAGTTAGAGCTGGATGTTAATGAGAAAAGTCAAGGATAAGGCCAATGTTTTGAGCCCATGACTTTGGGTATACACAAATGCCAGTGATAAAAAATGGAAAGCTTAAAGAAGGAAACTGAGACAAATGACTGACTTTGGTCGTCGACAAATCTTTATGAGCAGTGGTGGGTATGAGATAAAGGAAGAGATGTCCAGCAAGTAATGGCAAATCCAGACTTGGAACTTTTGAGAGAAGTCAGATATTGAAGAGGAGATGAGGGAGCCACCTGCGTGGAAGAGGAGACCTGCAAGAGCAAAGGATGTGGAGGGAAGAGCAGGACTGAGCCTTGAGATCCGCCTTTTCAGGAGGAGGAAGGGGGCCAGGCGCCGTGGCTCATGCCTGTAATCCCAGCACTTTGGGAGGCCGAGGCGGATGGATCACCTGAGGTCAGGAGTTCGAGACCAGCCTGGCCAACATGGTGAAACTCCATCTCTACTAAAAATACAAAAATTGGCTGGGCACGGTGGCTCACGCCTATAATCCCAGCACTTTGGGAGGCCAAGGCAGGTGGATCATGAGGTTAGGGGTTTGAGACCAGCCTGACCAACATGGTGAAACCCCATCTCCACTGAAAATACAAAAAAATTAGCTGGGCGTGGTGGCGGGTGCCTGTAATCCCACCTACTCAGGAGGCTGAGGCAGGAGAATTGCTTGAACCCGGGAGGCAGAGGTTGCAGTGAGCCAAGATCGCACCACTGCACTCCAGCCTGGGCAAAGGAGCAAGACTCTGTCTCAAAAAAAAAAAAAAATACAAAAATTAGCCAGGTGTGGTGGTGCACGCCTGTAGTCCCAGCTACTCGGAGGCTGAAGCACAAGAATCGCTTGAACCTGGGAGGCAGAGGTTGCAGTGAGCCGAGATCACACCACTGCACTCCAGTCTGGTGACAGAGTGAGACTTTGTCTCAATCAGAAAAAAAAAAAAAGAGAGAAGGAAGGGGAAAGAATAGAGAGCCCACCTGGAGGTTAGGAGGAGAACCAGCACAGGGACGAAGCAGCCAGTGGCAGAGAGAGGTTCGAGGCTTAGGAGGTTGGTGTTGCCTGGTATCCTGTAAGTTTGTATTCTTATGGTTTGTATGCACAGGAAGAAAGCATGTGAAGAAATACACCAGATTGTTAGGAGCAGTTAAAAAACAAAAAGCAAACAAAAAAGTGGTGAAAAGGAGCTGAGGATGTTCCCTTCTATTGTCCATGAATTTTTACAATTAGTAGTGATTATTTTAATAATTATCCCCACTGCCACGCCAGCCAAAAAGCAGTGGTGACAAGTCACTTTGCTCTCCCACATCTCTCTCTCTCTCTCTCCAGCCATGCCTCTTCCCTCCTTCTCAGCACCCCGTCTCTCCCCCAGCACACCCCTAATCTTTCCACTCCAGGCTTTAAACTCTTTGACATAGTTTCCTCCAAGTGTTGGTCAGCTACTCTTTGTGGGGAGAAGAGTAAACTGTCCCAGGGGCCAACATAAAAAGAGAGCTTGTTTCTGCCTCTAATGTTTTGTTCATGGTGGTTCCCGTACCTGTTACTTTCCCTCCACTTATTGTTTCCAGCATTTTTTTTTTTTTTTTTTTTTGAGACAGAGACTCACTGTGTCGCCAGGCTGGAGTGCAGTAGCGCGATCTCGGCTCACTGTAACCTCCACCTCCTGGGTTCAAGCGATTCTTCTTCTCAGCCTCACAAGTAGCTGAAACTACAGGCACATGCTACCACACCCATTTAATTTTTGCCTGTAGTCCTGGCAACTCAGGAGGCTGAAGTGGGAGGATCGCTTGAGCCTAGGAGGTGGAGGTTGTAGTGAGCTGAAATTGTGCCTGTGCACTCCAGCCTGGGTGACAGAGTGAGACCCTGTCTCAAAAATAAAAATAGTAACATACAAGAGTGGTTTCTTAGTTATGACAATTGACCAGTCATGTGAGATGAGAACATCAGGAGAAGCAAACTGGGGGAGGGGAATACAAGAACTCTCTGTTGTCTTCATTAATTCTCTGTGCGTCTAAAATTATTCCAAAATAAAAAGTTTATTGAGAAAATACATTAGCAACATGGAAAATGCTTATGATATAATATTAAATGAAAAAAAGGATGACAGGTATCTGCTCAGGGTAAAAAAGAAGATAAATGGGGAGAGAAGGAGGAAGTGAGAGTTGGCTTCCTCCTACCTGTCCCACCTCGTCTCAACTCCCTGATTCCATTCTTGCTGATGCAGCCGCCCAAAGGAGTATCTGCCACTTTATTTCCTGCCAGTTCAAATCCCATCCCATCAGCTCTCATTAAGAAACCCTTTCCGGCCGGGCATGATGGCTCATACCTGTAATCCCAGCACTTTGGGAGGCCAAGGCGGACGGATCACCTGAGGGCGGATCACCTGAGGAGTTCGAGAGCAGGCTGGCCAACATGGTGAAACCCCGTCTCTACTAAAAATACAAAAATTAGCCGGGCATGGTGGCGGGCACCTGTAATCCCAGCTACTCAAGAGGTGAGGCAAGAGAATCACTTGAGCCCAGGGGGCAGAAGTTGCAGTGAGCCAAGATCAAGCCATTGCACTCCAGCCTGGGTGACAGAGCAAGACTCTCTCTCAAAAAAAAAAAAAAAAAAAAAAAAAAAAAAAAGAATAAGAAGGAATAGAAAGGAAGGCAGAGTACTGATGACATCTGATCCAGCCACACCTTAATCCTATTGACCTCAGACTTAGCTCTATGAGCCAATAAATCCCCTTCCTACTTTATTTTTGAAATTGTAAATTGATAATTTATAATTAAATTTATGGGATACAAAGTGATGTTACAATTTATGAATACAATGTGGAATAACTAAATCAAGCTGGTTAACATATCCAGTACCTCAAATACTTAACATTTTTGTGGTGAGAACATTTGAAATTTACTCTCTTGGCAATTTTGAAATGTACAATACTCTATTATTAACTATATTCACCATGCTGTGCAATAGAACTCAAAAGTATTTTTAAAATCCTCCTGTCTGACTAAAATCTGATGCCCTTTGATCACCATCTCTCCCTTCCCCACAACCCCCAGCCTCTGTAACCACAATTCTACCTTCTGCTTCTGTGGGTTTTAGATTCCACATATATGTGAGAACCTGCAGTACTTGCTTTCCTGAACCTGACTTAATTCACTTAGCATAATATTCTCTAATTCCATCTATGTTGTCACAAATGTCAGAATGTCTTTCTTTTCTGTTGTTGTTCTTGTTTTTTTTGTTTGTTTGTTTTTTGAGACTGAGTCTCACTCTGTCACCCAGGCTGGAGTGCAGTGGTGCGAGCTCGGCTCACTGCAACCTCCACCTCCCCGGTTCAAGTGATTCTCCTGCCTCAGCCTCCTGAGTAGCTGGGATTACAGGCACCCACCACCATGCCCAGCTAATTTTTATATTTTTAGTAGAGACGGGGTTTCACCATGTTGGCCAGGCTGGTCTCGAACTCCTGACCTCAACTGATCCATCCATCTCGGCCTCCCAAACTGCCAGGATTACAGGTGTGAGCCACCATGCCTGGCCGAGAATGTCTTTCTTTTTTAAGGCTTCATAGTATTCCTTTCTGTAAGTATGCAACATTGTCTTTATCCACTCATTTGTTGATGCACAGTTAAGTTGATTCTGTAACTTGCTATTGTGAATAGTGCTGCAATGAACATGGGGTATAGACATCTCTTCAACAAACTGATTTTAAACCTTTTTGGTAAATACCCAGAAGTGGGATTTCAAGATCATATGGCAATTTTATGTTTAGTTTTTTGAAGAACCTCCATACTGTTTTCCATATTGACTATACTAATTTATATTCCCACCAACATTGTACAATTGTTCCCTTTTCTCCACATTCTTGACAACATTTATCTTTCATATTTTTGATAAAAGCCATTCTGACCAGTATGAGATGATGTCTCATTATGGCTTTAATTTGCATTTCCCTAATGATTAGCAATATCGAGTATTTTTCATTATATCTGTTAGCCATTTATATGTATTCTTTTGAGAAATGTCTTTATCTCTGGAATGCAAGGAGGGTTCAACATATGCAAGTCAATAAATGATATGCCACATTAACAGAATAAATGACAAAAATCATATGATTATCTCATCAGAAGCAGAAAAAAATTGACAAAATTCAACATCCCTTAACCATAAAAACAATCACCAAATTAGGTATACAAGAAAGGTAGCTCAACAATAAAAGCTATCCAGAGATGCTGACAGCTAACAGTGACTCAGCAGTGAATAACTGAAAGCCTTTCCCCCAAGATCTGGAACAAGACAACAATGCCCACTCAACATGGAATTGGAAGTTCTAGACAGAGCAATTAAGCAAGAAAAAGAAATTGGCAATAGATTTAACCAAGGAGACAAAAGACTTATACAACGAAAACTATAAGGTGTTGATGAAATAAACTGAATAAGACACAAATAAATGGAAAGATATTTCATGTTCATGGTTCAGAAGAACTAATATTACTAAAATGTTATACTACCCAAAGTGATCTACAAATTCAATGCAATCCCTATGAATATCCCAACATCACTTTTCATAGAAATAAAAAAAAAATCCAAAACTTCATATGGGGCTGGACATGGTGGCTTACACCTGGAATCTCAGCACTTCGGGAGGCCGAGGTGGGAGGATCACCTGAGATCAGGAGTTCGAGACCAACCTAGCCAACATGGTAAAACCCCATCTCTGCTAAAAATACAAAAATCAGCCAGGCATGGTGGCACTCACCTGTAATCCCAGCTACTTGGGAGGCTGAGGGACGAGAATCACTTGAAGCTGGGAGGCGGAGGTTGCAGTGAGCCTTGATTGCACCACTTGCACTCCAGTTTGGGCCATAGAGTGAGACTCCATCTCAAAAAACAAAACAAAACAAAAATTCATATGGACAACAAAAACCTCAAACAACCAAGGCAATCATGAACAAAAAGGACAAAGCTGGAGGTATCACACCACCAGATTTCAAAGTATACTACAAATCTATAGCAATCAAAACAACATGGTATTGGAAAAAAAAAAAAAAAAAAAGACAGACACATTGACTAATGGAGTGGAATAGAGAGCTTGGAAATTAACCTACTACTATACAGTCAATTGATTTTCAACAAAGGTACCAGAATACGCAATAGGAAGAGGACAGTCCCTTCAATAAATAGTGTTGGGAAAATGAAATTTCCACCTGCAGAACAATAAAATTGGACCCTTATCTCACACCATATATAGAACTAAAAATCAAATTAAAATGAATTAAAGATTCAAACGTAATACCAGAAACTCTAAACTTACTGGAAGAAAACACAGGGAGGAAAAACTACATGACACTCTCTGGGCAACGGTTTTTTGGATGTGACCCCAAAAGCACAGGCAACAAAAGCAAAAATAGACAAATCAGATTACATCAAACTAAAAAGCTTCTGCATAGCCAATGAAACAACCAACAGCATGCAGAAACAACTCACAGATTGGGAGAAAACAGCTGCAAGCCATACATCTGACAAGGGATTAATATCCAAAATACAGAAGGAGCTCCAACAACTCAATATTAAGAAAACAAGAAACCCAATTAGAAAATGAGCAAGGGACCTGAATACACATTTCCACTAAAGTTTTTAAGACATAAACATACTTTGGCATAAACACTGTATTATATGCAATTACTTTTTGTAAATAATTTTTGTAAAGCCATCAGATATATATCCAAATGATTTTTCACCTGAGTGTAAGACAGGAAAATGTTTAAATTAATACATAAATCAAATCATCTGCACTGGCATTGTTAACCTAGAAGAAAGTGGCTGCATAGAGAATAGTAAAAGCAAGGATATTTAGTCCATACTTTCAAATGGGGCTTGATGATTTGAAACAACAAAGTTGTTCACTGGCAGAATTTCCCACCAAGTCTGTATAAATTATGTGCTATTTGATAAAAGATAGCCTGAATGAAGCTAATTTTTTTATCTTCAGTATTTGCTTTAAGAGAAAAATCCTGAAGCTTGTAGGGATTTCTAATGCCAAAAAAGATGATGAAATGGGAGAGTATATTTAGCAATCATGGTGACTAAGCTCATGGTAACTGGCATATGTAAAATTTTAGTTTGCATTCCAATTACTTAAACTGAGATGTTCTTGATCAGTTGAACATACTGTGAGTAGACGATCTCTTTCTCAGAGAAACAAGATGGAGAGATCTTCAGAGAATGGCCCCACTGAAGCTCATTGGTAAATGAGCTTTCTCCAGATTTTGTTGATTTCCTGAGTTTTTCCATAATTCCTCAGTTCCCTGGCCATTTTCTGATAGACCATGGTCTTCCTATTGCCCTTTCTTATTCCTCAAAGTTTGGCAAATTTTTCTTCATTTTTTGATACAAACTGGAAACTGCCTTTGGTTTTATCTACTTACTGAATGCAGATGCCATCTTGGGATTATACTGAGATTTGTGAAGTTATTCAAACAGTCAGAGAAGCTTCCCGCCTTGTCCTCCCTGTTGCTGGAAAACAGCAGACTGCACCAGCTGGCTTTCAGTTATGTTCCACAAAGATCAATGAATGGTTCCTTCAAAATAGAAGTCTGCAGCATTATTTATTAAAGTTCTCCAATTATAAATAGATTCCTCTGTAAGCAACATTCCATAGCAGTTGGAATCTCCTCTGACATGGGTACAATCACTGATGAAAACCAGGTAAGTTTTGAAGATCTCCAGTTGAATGTTGCCTCAGTACCTCAAAAGCATCTTCAAATGCTTGAGCCAGCTTGTCTCGTTCACACAAGTTATGCTTCACTAATAAACTGATGATTCTGTCCATCAGTGCCCAATCTAGCATGTACTTGTAGATGTGGAGATAATCTTCCCTCCTCTGAAACACACATCTGCACTCCCCACCACCCACTTTAATTTTGTTAAAGCAGTTTTGAGTTGGGTTTCTGTCATCTGCAAAGGAAAAAGTCCTGAGTCATTTATACCTAAGAATCAGATAATTTAAGTAACAGGCTCTAACATATGAAAATAGCTGAGATAGTGTGGGGTGCAAAACAGAGAGGAGATAATTATTCCCATCCCTAAATAATATTTGAAAAGTTTTGTTATACAGTAGAAATGCAACTGGCTATCCAATGATTTGTTAAATCTTTGGACTCAGCCCCAAGAAAAATAGCAAGATATTGAACATTACTTGTGGCCTCAAATAATATTATATGAGAAAAGCAGAAGTTCAGTCCAAGCTATACTATCTAAAAGCAGAGAGGGAATAATGAAACTTCATTTTTTAGAAAAATCTTTATACCCATACCTTGCAATCCTTGAGGACTGGGAGTCAGAATTTGAAAAGGCCAAATTCTGCATCCTAAGCTAAAATTTGTGAAGACAAAAGCAAAGAGATAAAGAAATACCATACTAAAATATTGGGAAAGAAATTGAAAGGGACACAACAAAATGAAAAGATATTCCAGATTCACGAACTGAAATACTTAATATTGGTTAAATTATAATACTACTCAAAGCAATTTACAGATTAAATGCAATCCAATTACATTCTCTACAGAAATAGAAAAAAATCTTAAGACATATATGGAACCACAAAAGACCCCAAATAACCAAAGCAATCTGAGCAAAAGGAACAAAGCTGGAGGCATTACACTACCTGACTTCAAATTTTACTACAAAGCTATAGTAACCAAATCAGTATGACACTGGCATAAAAACAGACAGAATAGACCAATGGGACAGAATAGAGAACGCAGATGTAAATCCACACATTTACGGCCAGCTCATCTTCAACAAAGGTACCAAGAACATATAATGGGGGGAAGGATAGGCTTTTCAATAAATGGTGCCAAGAAAACTAGATAACTATATGCAGAAGAATGAAACTGGATCCTTCTCTCTTACCATATACAAAAAGCAAATCAAAATTGATTAAAGATTAAATCTAAATCCTCAAACCATGAAACTACTAGAAGAAAACATTGAGGAATCACTCCAGGACATTGGTCTGGGTGAAGATTTTTTTATGTCAGATCTCAAAAGCATAGGCAAACAAAGTAAAAATAGACAAATGGGATTATTTCAAGCTAAAAACTTCTGCATAGCAAAGGAAATAATCAATAAAGTGAAGAGAAAACCCACAGAATGGCAGAAAATATAACTAACCACCTGAGACGGGGTTAATAACCAGAAGGTATGGGGAGCTCAAACAACTCAATAGCAAAAACAAACAAACAAACAAAAACAACATAATCCAATTTAAAAATGGGCAATAGATCTGAGTAGACATTTCTCAAAAGAAGCCATACAAATGGCCAACAGGCATATAAAAAATATTCAACATCACAAATTATTAGAGAAATGCAAATCAATGAGATATCATCTCGCCCCAGTTAAAATGGCTTTTATCAAGAAGACAGGCAATAACGCAGGCTAGCGAGGATGTGGAAGAAAGGGAACCCTTGTACACTGTTGGTGGGAATGGAAATTAGTACAGCTACTACACAGAATAGCTTGGAGGTTCCTCAAAAAACTAAAAATTGTGCTACCATATGATCCAGGAATCCCACTCCTGGGTATATCTCCAAAAGAAAGGAAATGAATATATCAAAGAGCTATCTGCACGCCCATGTTTATTGCAGCACTATTCACAATAGCCAAAATATGGAATCGATCTAAGTGCCCATCAACGAATGAATGGCTAAAGAAAACGTGGTATATATACACAATGGAATATTATTCATCTGTAAAAAGGAATAAAATCCTGTCATTTGCAGCAACATAAATAAAACTAGAAGTCATTATGTTAAGTGACACAAAGAGACAAATACTACGTGTTCTCACTCATATGTGGAAGCTAAGAAAAAGTGGATCTCATGAAGGTAGAGAGTAGATTGGTGGTTACCAGAAGCCAGCAAGGGTAGCAGAAGTAGGGGATTCAAAGAAGTTGATAAATCAATACAAATATAAAGTTGAGAGAAGAAATAAGCTCCAGTGTTCAACAGATGAGTAGGGTGACTATAGTTTACAAAAACATACTGTACATTTCAAATTAGAAGAGAAAAATTCAAACATTTCTAGGATAAAGACAAATATTAAGGTGATGGATATCCCAAGTACACTGATGTGATGTATACAAATTATATGAATGTATTAAGTTATCATGTGTGCCCTGAAACTATGTAACTTATTATCCATCAATTTTTTAAATTGTTGAAAAAATGATTAAATGAATAAATAAAATATTGGGTCTTGGATGAGCCAGAAAATTTGGGAAGTCTGATTCTCTCTCAAATATTATATTCTAGGTATTCTTTGCCAGACAAAAGCATCATATCCCTTATAAAAATGCATCCAGTAGGTTATAATCTTGGGGGAAATGCCACATTATTTAGCTTCATTTTCCCCTTCAAGTCTTTCACATTGTTCAAAGCAGACAGCAAAGTGAAAGCATTATTTTGGGAGATGGGGAAAAGCCAGAATAGATTATTGGCAAGAAATAGAAACCACAAGATGAGGATCAAGAGTCAAGGTCCAGGTTTAGACAAGATCTCTGGATGTGGTTATTATGCCACAGAATCATCAAATGTCAACTGAGGTTTTAAATACTGCTTAAAAATGCCAAGCCTGGAAATAGGTGCCTGTAATTCTTCAGTCCTTCAGTAAATACCCAGGCTATTAAAGTAGGTAATTCCCAGGAATGAAATCCTCCTTGCACCTCTCTTAGGGGTGGCCATGGAGGACACAAAACACAGATATTTATCTTTGGAAGAAGGAGGTAGAACTGTTTTTGAAAATATATATAAAGTATAGTTGTGTTTGGAGAAGCAGAGGCATTTTTGAAACTATATGTATAATTAGAATGGTATGTGAATATATATACAACCAAAGACAAAGGGGTAAAATGGGGTAAAAATCTACTATTATTCACTATACGGCACTCATTCTCAACTACCTTCTCAGATCTAAACTCTACTTTTCTGTAGAGAACCCCTTCCCTGTGGTTAGGACAGGGCCAACACTGACTTGCCACCATGACGACATCAGTGGGTACATGACCTAGACTCAGCAAATTATGCTACCCATAACATCGGCTACCATGATCATTTAAGATCTGGACATGAAATCTAAACTAGGTTCTCCCTGGACATTTTCTGAAAGGTATTAGAGAGTGGGTGTAGTGGCTCACACCTGTAATTCCAACATTTTGGGAGGCTGAGGTGGGAGGATTGCTTGAGCCCAGGAGTTCAAGACCAGACTGGGCAACATAGGGAGACCTTGTCTCTATGAAAAACAAAAAAATTAGCTGGAGGCCGAGGCGGACGGATCATGAGGTCAGGAGATCGAGACCATCCTGGCTAATATGGTGAAACCCGTCTCTACTAAAAATACAAAAAAGTTAGCTGGGCATGGTGGTGGGCGCCTGTAATCCTAGCTACTCGGTAGGCTGAGGCAGGAGAATGGTGTGAACCCGGGAGGCGGAGCTTACAGTGAGCTGAGATCTCGCCACTGCACTCCAGCCTGGGTGACAGAGCGAGACTCCATCTTAAAAAAAAAAAAAAAAAAAAAAAAATTAGCCAGGCATGGTGATGCACACCTGCAGTCCCAGCTACTCAGGAGGCTGAGGTGGGTGGATCACTTGAGCCTGGGTGGTCAAGGCTGTGGTGAGCTGTGATTGCACCACTATACTCCAGCCTGGGCAACAGAGCAAGACCCTGTCTCTAAATAAATAAATAAATAAATATAAAAGTAATTTTTTATTATACATTAAGTTCTGGGATATATGTGGAGAACGTGCAGGTTTGTTAACATAGGTATACACGTCCCATGGTGGTTTGCTGCACCCATCAACCCGTCATCTACGTTAGATATTTCTCCTAATGTTATTCCTTTAAAATGGAAGGTATTAGGAAGATTTCTTTCCACTGTCGGTCAGGAATGAGATGGATGTGGTGCTACTGAAGGTCGCCTTGCCACTCTGTAGTAAAAGAAACCTCTGCAACGAATTTGAGGAAATCACAGCTGACAGATGTAAAGAGGACACAGAGCCCTCCTCACATTGTTAGAATTCCTGGAACTAAACAAATCACTCCTTTTACCTTCCAGCTGTGTAAGCCTCCTCCTCAAAAAAAAGAAAATCATTTTTTGTGTAAGCTAGTGTTTTCTGCAATTTAAAGCTTTAAAAATCCAACTCAACAACAAAACACAACCCAATTTAAAAAGGGACAAAAGACTTGAATAGACATTTCTCTGAAGATATATAAATGGCCAAAAAGCACACAAAAAGATATTCAATGTCATTAGTCATTAGAGAAAGGCAAGTCAAAAGCACAATGAGATATACCATTTTACACCCACTAGGATAGCCATTTCTTAAAAATAGAGAATAAATGTTGGTAAAGCTGTGGAGAAATTGGAACCTTCATACATTGCTGGTGGGGATGAAAAATGGTACAACCACTGTGGAAAACAGTTTGGTGATTCTTCAATAAACACAGAATTATCACATGACCTAGCAATTCCACTCCTAAATATGTACCCAAGAGAAGTAAAAGCAGGTGTTCAAATAAAAACGTTTCCATTTGTTTACAAAATGTTATACACCAGTGAACACAGCAGCTCTATTCACAATAGCCAAAAGGTTAAAACAATCTAACTGTCCACCAACAGATGAATAAAAAAAATGTGTTTTGATACCATAAAGTTAAATGTTCTTCATCCATAAAAAGGAATGAACGAAAAATACAACATGGATGACCCTCAAAAACACTATGCTAAGCTGGCCGGGTGCAGTGGCTCATGCCTGTAATCCCAGCACTTTGGGAGGATGAGGTGGGCAGATCATGAGGTCAGGAGTTCGAGACCAGCCTGACCAACATGGTGGAACCTCATCTCTACTAAAAATACAAAAATTACCTGGGCATGGTGGCGCACGCCTGTAGTCCCAGCTACTTGGGAGGCTGAGGCAGGAGAATCACTTGAACCCAGGAGGCGGAGGTTGCAGTGAGCTGAGATCGTGCCACTGCACTCCAGCCTGGGAGACAGAGTGAGGATCTGTCTCAAAAACAAACAAACAAACAAACAAACAAAATTATGCTAAATAAAGGAAGCCAGACACCGAAGACCACATATTGAATGATTCCATTTATAAGAAATGTCCAGAATAGGCAAATCCATAGAGACAGAAAGCAGATTAGTGGTTGCCAAGTGCTGAGAAGAGAGAGAAATGGAGAGTGACTGCTTAGTTAGCATTTCTGTTTAGGGTGATTTTTTAAAGTTCTGGACCGAGATAGAGGTGATGGCTGCATAACATGGGTGAACAGGCTTAATGCCACTGAATTGTACACTTTAAAATTGTTAAAACTTCACCGTGATTTTAAAAATGTTAAGGTCCCTGACTAATTTAAGCCCACTCTGCACCGTGTAGTCAGGAACTAGGACTTAGAGCTGGCATAGAGTGGGAATTTGTCAAATAATCACCATCATTTTGGATTCTTAATGAGTTGCCAACTGTCCTAAGTATTACTATTTTACATATTGTAATGAATGCTTTGTGAAACAAAAGCTTTTGTGGTTGTTGCTGTTGATTACAAATTTTATCTCTTTTTTTAACTTTTATTTTAGGTTCAGGGTACACATGCAGGTTTGTTGTACAGGTAAATTGAGTATCATGGGGGTTTGGTGTACAAACTGTTTTGTCACCCAGCTGATAAGCATAGTACCCAATAGGTAGTTTTTGATCCTTAGCCTCCTCCCACTCTCCACCCTCACAAAGGCCTCAGTGTCTACTGTTCCCTTCTTTGTGTCCATGTGTACTCAATGTTTAGGTCCTACTTCTAAGTGAGAACATGCAGTATTTGGTTTCCTGTTCCTGCATTAGTTCACTTAAGATAATGGCCCCCAGCTCCTTCCATGTTGCTGCAAAGAACATGATCTTGTTCTTTTTTATGGATGCACAGTATTCCACGATGTATATGTGCCACCTTTTCTTTATCTGGTGTATTGATGATGGGCATTTAGGTTGATTCCGTGTCTTTGCTATTGTGAGTAGTGCTGCAATGAACATATGAGTGCGTGTGTCTTTATGGTAGAACAATTTATTTTCCTTTGGGTATTGGTATGGTTTGGCTGTGTCTCCACCCAAATCTCATCTTGAATTGTAGCTCTCATAATCCCCATGTATCATGGGAGGAACCCAGTGAAAGGTAATTGAATCATGGGGGCGGGTTCTTCCCAAGCTGTTCTCATGATAGTGAATAAGTCTCACAAGATATGATGGTTTTATAAAGGGCAGTTCCCCTATACACACTCTCTTGCTTGCTGCCATGTAAGATGTGCCTTTGCTCCTCTCCACCTTCCGCCATGATTGTGAGGCCTCCCTGGCCATGTGGAACTGTGAGTCCATTAAACCTCTTTTTCTTTATAAATTACCCAGTCTTGCATATGTCCTTATAGCAGTGTGGTCTACTGCAGGTATATACCCAATAAGGAGATTACTGGGTCAAATGGTAGTTCTGTTTGAAGCTCTTTGAGAAGGCTCCACAATGCTTTGCACAATGACTGAACTAATTTACATTTCCACCAACAGTGAATAAGCATTCCCTTTTCTCTGCAATCTCACCAGCATGTTTGTTGTTGTTGTTGTTGTTGTTGTTGTTGTTTGAGACGGAGTCTCGCTGTGTCGCCCAGGCTGGAGTGCAGTGGCGCGATCTCGGCTCACTGCAAACTCTGACTCTCAGGTTCATGCCATTCTCCTGCCTCAGCCTCCCGAGTAGCTGGGACTACAGGCGCCCGCCACCACGCCCAGCTAATTTTTTTTGTATTTTTAGTAGAGATGGGGTTTCACCGTGTTAGCCAGGATGGTCTCGATCTCCTGACCTCATGATCCACCCGTCTCGGCCTCCCAAAGTGCTGGGATTACAGGCATGAGCCACCACGCCCGGCCAGCATCTGTTATTTTTCAGCTTTTTAATAATACCTATTCTGACTGGTGTGAGAGGATGGGACATTTAGAGGAAAAATCAGCCTTTCTTGTTTCTTCCCTCACAGTCAGTATTAATAAAGACTAATCCCTTTAGACTATCACAAGAAGATACTGCAGAGGAAAGATGAAGCTTCTTTTAACTAAGGGGTCACGGCCGTTATAATTTGAGCATCAAAAGACTGGATGAA
Source organism: Homo sapiens (assembly GCF_000001405.40). Classification (NCBI taxonomy): domain Eukaryota; kingdom Metazoa; phylum Chordata; class Mammalia; order Primates; family Hominidae; genus Homo; species Homo sapiens. Next base: position 6,935,583 of record NC_000017.11, read on the forward strand.
AACAGATGTGGCCAGAGTTCTAGTTCTTGTTTTGGAGGACTAGACGGTATCAGATTAACCCCTCTGCCAAAATTATTTATAAACTCTGGGCAAAATATAACAAACAGGTCTTTGAAGGGACTGGAGATAAACCTTAGCAGGCAGAAACTGAGCAGGGAACAGACAGTCCTCAAAATGAAGGAAGCACGTGAGATGAGCTCCACATTTACCAAGATTTTTCTCCTGAGGGACTTCCCAGCTTGCTGCTGCTGCACACAGCGGAAGAGATCTCAAACAGAAAGAAGCAATTTTAGGGGATGTGGAGCTAGAGATTCGATTTGGGGCTCCCAGAGAAGCTGGAAATTGAGGAGGAAATCCCCAGAAAAGGGGGACCTATGGAAGGAAAATAATTGATAGAACAAGTAGATGAAAAATCAGTAAGAACATAGATTTGAACACAATTAACAGACTTGATCAAGTGGACATTCACACAACACAGCACCCAACACTGCATACCACACACTCTTTTCGAGAACTCACAGGACCTTTACAAAGTGAATCACGCTGGACGATAAAGTAAGTCTCAACAAAATTAGGAGATTGCAATCAGGCAAGACATGCTATGGCTAGTATGAGCAAACAAGCCAGACATCAATAGAAATGACCTGTTTTGAAGATGGCATGGTATTAACACAGGGATTGACAAGTAGAACAATTGGAATAGAAGAATGGACAGCCCAGAAACAGGCATATATGGACACTTCATTTTTGACAGAGGTGGTGTTACCAGCTGAGGGTAGTTGTCCAGGTTCTTGGCGTTTTGAACAAAGAACTGGACAAAATGGACAAAGCAAGGCAGCAAGAGCAGAGATTTGTTTTAAATGAAAGTACACTCCACAGGGTGGGGGTGGCTCATGCAAGCAGCTCAAGATTCTTGGTTACAGAATTTTCTGGGGTTTCAATTCCCTCTAGGAGTTTCCCATTGTCCCCCGACCAGTCTGATTGGTTGCAGGAGGGGACCAATCAGAGGTACTTTCATTTTTCAACCGCCAGGCAGAAAAAGGAGGGGCAGCAACTGTCGCGCAGAAAAAGGGGGTGTTGAAGAGTAGCCTCTGATATCCAGTGAGCATGAACCGGCCTTAGGTTTCCTGCCTCCAGACCCTATTCTCCTGCCTCATTTCCCCCCCTGAGAGACAGGATCCCCGTAAGTCTTTATGTGAGACAGAGGGACTGATGGTCTTTTTTCTGTAACTGCGTCACACTGACTTGACTGACAGTCCCTGCCTATTGGAATCACAGAACTCTCACCCTGCTCTGTCTAGTGGAGACAGGGTAGTTTCTTGATGGCCAGGGGTGGTGAATTCATTTGGAACTGGCTGGAAACCTTACTGCACAATCATCTCCAGGCAAGAGGAAATGAATGGTTAAAAGATTTCATGGGAACTTCAGGAGGTGGACACCTATGCTGTCAGGAATGTTTGTTATAGAAATGAATTAAAAGATTCTACTTAATTACTATGAAGGAAGTGATTCCAACTGTTTGAAAGAAGGTAATTAATCTGCAAAAAAAAAAAAAAAAAAAAAAACATGGCTACTATTATCCAGCCTACAGTAACTATGCAACAAAAACACCAAGGAACGTTGGTAGGCATTTCTCTTTTGGCTGTCTTCTAAACAGGTACTTCAGGGCTGCCACAGGTTCACAGGTGCAGTGGCTGATGGGAACTTCAGGTTCCAGGTCCGGGGCTTCAGGTATCACAGACTTGATCCTTGAAAGGTGTATCCAACTATCTAATCCCAGTACTTTGACCGCAGAAGGCGTGGCCAGTATCACTGAAAACGGTGCCTTCCATTGGGGTTGTAATTGTTGAGGAGGTGACCCCTCCGTCCATGCTTTAACAAGCACCTTATCTGCTGGCCTGATTTGAGGTGGCTGGTTAGCTTCCAGTACCGGAAGCCTTTGAGTTCCAAACTTCTGTATAAACCTGCTGACATTGTCCTAGGTTAACTAGGTATTTTACTAAACCAGCTGTTTCTGAATCAGTAATTACATCATCAGTTAAGAATAGCCTTCTGTAATCCCAGCACTTTGGGAGGCCAAGGCGGGCAGATCACCTGAGGTTAGGAGTTCAAGACCAGCCTGACCAACGTGGAGAAACCCCATCTCTACTAAAAATACAAAATTAGCCGGGCATGGTGGTTCATGCCTGTAATTCCAGCTACTCGGGAGGCCGAGGCAGGAGAATCGCTTGAACCCGGAAGGCAGAGGTTGCAGTGAGCCAAGATCAAGGCATTGTACTCCAGCCTGGGCAACAAGAGCGAAAATTCCATGTCCAAAAAAACAAGGCCGGGCACAGTGGCTCAGGCCTGTAATCCCAGCACTTTGGGAGGCCGAGGCGGGCAGATCACAAGGTCAGGAGATCGAGACCATCCTGGCTAACACGGTGAAACCCCGTCTCTACTAAAAATACAAAATATTAGCTGGGCGTGCTGGCGGGCGCCTGTAGTCCCAGCTACTCGGGAGGCTGAGGCAGGAGAATGGCGTGAACCCGGGAGGCGGAGCTTGCAGTGAGCCAAGATCGTGCCACTGCACTCCAGCCTAGGCGATAGAGAGAGACTCCGTCTCAAAAAAAAAAAAAAAAACACACACACACACACATAAAAACAAACTAATAGCCTTCGTATAGGCTTATATTAAATTTTGCTCTAGGGGTATTACAGATTTTTAAGAGAGCTATGGGCAGTAAGCTGACCCAAGCTTCTGATGTTTCCTGATCGAACTTAGCTAACGATCCTTTTAGAGGTTGATTAGCCCTTTCTACTTTCCCAGAGGATTGAGGCCTCCATGCTGAATGTAAATAGTATTTGATTCTGAGAGCCTTAGCAACTACTTGAGTTATCTGGGAGATAAAGTATGGGCCGTTATCACTTTGGAGACGCTGAAGTAACCCAAACTGGGGGATTATTTCTTTTAAGAGAACCTTATAACCACAGTAGCCTTCTCTGATCTGGTAGGATAAGCTTCGACCCAACCAGTAAAGATATCTATTAGCACTAACAAAAACTTATAACCTCTGCCAGCTGGCATATGTGTGAAGTCTAATCGCCCATCTTTTCCTGGGTATGTTCTATCAGCGTCCTCTAATACAACTCCCCTCTGGACTGGTTCTATTACAGGAGGCATTCTGTTTCCTGGGCTGTTCAGTGCACACAGTGAGCAGGTTTGACAGACATGCTTAACCACAGAAGCTAAGTTAGGCTCAATGAAGAGCCTGTTAACCACGGCCAGGGTGGCTTCTCTCCCCATATGCAAAGAGTCATGCAGAGTTTTTCTAATTCTCCATCAGGCTGCTTGAGGGAGATGTGGTTTTGATGCCATGTACCACCAGCATCCTGGGTTTTGTCCCCCTTGCTCCTTTATTAACTGTTCTTCCTGTGGTGTGTATTCAGGCTCCATTGGGGAATCACAGAAAAGAAGTAGAGCTGGAATCTGTTGGGATTGCACCCTGAGAACTACAGCTTTCGCTTCTCTATCAGCCTTTCTGTTTCCTTGTGCTATAAGGGTTAAGGCCCTTTGATGCTCCCTGCAATGAATTACAGCTACAGCCTTTGGCAGGTGTATTGCTTCCAAAAGCTGCAGAATTTCAGGCCTATGCTTTACAGGGGAGTGTTTGCTAGTTAGCAGCCCTCTTCCTTTCCAGATTGTAGCATGAGCATGGCAAGGGTTACCTGGTCCGGTGGAACCTCCCTTACTTCATCATCACTTACTGCCTTAGTTATTCCCTTTCTCATTCCTCCAAGGAGAGCCTCAAGAAATTTAGCCCAGTTTTTCGTTCCCACGAGAGCATTAGAGTCTCAATTAGGATCAGTTGTGGGGACTGTGTCTGGGCCCAGGTGATTGCCCTGAGGGTTTTGGGCAAATAAATCGTCTGCTTCCCAGTGGGCAGCCTCAAAAGATTCATTCCTTTTCAAAGGGGGTGCAAGAGGTTGCTAGAATGAATTGAACATTTCTCTGTGAGAGATCGAAGGCTGAGGTCAAAGTTTGGAACCCATCTGCTAATTTCCTGGGATTCTTAGAAGAGCTTCCTAGCTTTCCCTGACACCGTTGTATATCAGTTATAGAGAAGGTGGCCTGCACTAGGACTGGCCCCTCGGCTCCTGCTACTTCCTGAAGGGGTAGCAGGGCTGGAGGGAGAGTGGAATGTAGTGTCCCCTCCGAGCGTGAGGGGGACCTAGTAGGGTGTCCAGGGTTTGGGTTTTAGCCTCAGGAGCACTTGGCAAGGGGCTACGTGGGGGCGGTTATGTTCACCCTGAGAGACAGGTGGCCCTTATAAAAGGGGGTCATCTATACTATCTAGTCCTGTCTTTGGACTTTCTTTGCGGAGATGATTAGGTTTTGGCGTAGGGCCGTGAAGGCCTGTACATATGGTATTTCTGACCATTTGCCCTGCCAGGAAACAGCTGCTGCAAGACTGAAAAGAAAAGGACTCAGGTCCCTCACCCAAACCGGGTGGTGGTGATCAGGCGCTTCCACACGGAACCCTTTCAGTTTCCCTGGAGAGTGGCCCCAACCACAAACCTGCGGTTGCCTCCATGCCTAGGCACTGTCCACCGAGAGTCCCGAGTTGGAAAGGAAAAGAGAGAGAAAGAGGACAAAAAGGAAAATAAATCCCAAACGTTGGGCTTACCTCCTGGCTGGCTCACCAAAATACGTTACCAGCTGAAGGGTAGTTGGCCAGGTTCTTGGCGTTTTGAACTGAGAATTGGACAAAACACACAAAGCAAGGCAGGGAAAGCAGAGATTTACTCCAACAGAGGACAGTGGGCTCAAGCAAGCAGCTCCAAAGCCTGTTACTGAATTTTCTGAGGTTTAAATACCCTCTAGAGGGTTCCCATTGGCCCCCGACCAGTCTGATTGGTTGCAGGAGGGGACCAATCAGAGGTACTTTCATTTTTCAACTGCCTCGCAGAAAAAAGGAGGGGTTGAAAAGGGATGAATCGGGCTTGGGTTCCGAACCTAAGCCCAATTCAACCCCTCCTTTCCCTCATAAGCAGCATGAATCAGCCTTAGCTTCCCTGCCTCCAGACCCTATTCTCCTGCCTCAGTGGTAGTGTAGATCAGGCGAGGAAGTAGAAATTCTAATAGACAGTGGTGGGACAGGGAAGTGTCCATATGGAAAAAAATGGACCTTTATATCATACGTAAATAAATTTCAAGTAGATTAAAGGTCTAAACATAAAAGGCAAAATTAAGCAATGCATATAGAAGTGTAAAACTATAAACATTTGCAAGGAAGTGATTGTCACACGTTTGGAGAGTGGTTACTTCCGGGAAGAGGAAGAGGTTTGTTGCAGGTAGGGGATGGAGTGGGGAAAGGGACTCTGTCCATATTCTAACTCTTGGACTGGGTTGTAGCTATCTGGGTACTTTTTAATTTGCTTTAAATTATTTTTTAAATTGTATATAAATATGGTGGCCTTTTGTGTATTCTATACAGTCCACACTAAAAATGGTTAAGAAAAAAAGCATGACGTATTTAAAGATAACCACCACCGTAAGTCAAATCACTGAGTAACTTAAAGCTCACAAGTAATATTTAAGAGTACCCAGAAACTTGTTCTCCTCCTAGAAAATATATACAGTCAAAAAAAACAAGAGCCCTCAAAAGTGTTAGTCCAAACTGCACCATTATGTAAGTCTCCCGCCATTTCACAGACCTTGGTCAAAGTGGAACATTCCACGGGGGTTCGGACCGTGAGAAACAGCCTGCCTCTTATCTTATTCTGCTAGGAGAAAATGCAAGGAACACCACACTCCACCAGAACAAGGGCCAAACCGCCTGATCAAAGGAACATCTTATCAATATCCTATCAGGCAGCAAGCCATACTGCCCAGGCCCCTCCCGCCCATACCTATAAATACCCCAGCCTGTAAGCAGTGGGCACTGACACTAAGCTGGTCCCCCACCTCTATAAGTTTATCCTGGACATAAATGCCTGCATTTGCTGTTGAGCCATTTTCTCTCTCTCTCTCTCTCTCTCTCTCTCTCTCTCACTCTCTCTCTCTTTTTTTTTTTTTTTTTTTTTTTTTGAGATGTAGTTTCCCTCTTATTGCCCAGGCTGGAGTGCAGTGGCACAATCTCAGCTCACCACAACCTCCGTTTCCCCGGTTCAAGCGATTCTCCTGCCTCAGCCTCCTGAGTAGCTGGGATTACAGGCAGGCGCCACAATGCCCGGCTAATTTTGTATTTTTAGTAGAAATGGAGTCTCTCCATGTTGATCAGGCTGGTCTCGAACTCCCCACCTCAGGTGATCCGCCCGCCTTGGCCTCCCAAAGTGCTGGGATTACAGGCGTGAGCCACTGTGCCCAGCCAAGTTGTTATTATCTAAGGACCTGAAATCAATAGAAAGGAATTGTCTGGGTTAAGATAAGGGGTTGTGGAGACCAAGATTCTGAGGTGGGAGGCAGGACTTGACTCCAGAGGTGGGGCTAGGACACTAGACCAGTTGAAGGCTAGCTAAAAACAGGTCGGGGTGCGGGGTGGGGTGGGGGGCAGAAGCACCTTCTCATAAGACACACCCACCAGTGTGCCAAGTCAGTTGACCATTGCCATGGCAACACCTGGAGGTTACTGCCCCTTTCCATGGCAACGACCTGACAACTGGGAAGCTATCACCCTCATTCTAGAAATTTCTGCATAACTCCTTTAATTTGCATATAATTAGAAGTGGGTATGAGTGCAGACCTGCCTCTGAGCTGCTACTCTGGGCACACTGCCTATGCGGTAACCCTGGTCTGCAAGGAGGAGGACCTCCGCTGCTGCTGGTACACTGGTGCTTCAATACCAACCTGGCCAACATGGTGAAACCTCGTCTCTACTAAAAGTACAAAAATTAGCCAGGCATGGTGTGTGCCTGTAATCCCAGCTAATCAGGAGGCTGCGGCAGGAGAATCACTTGAACCCGGGAGGCGGAGGTTGCAGTGAGCCCAGATAGTGCCATTGCACTCCAGCCTGGGTGACAAAGTGAGGCTCTGTCTCAAAAAAATAAATAAATAAAAAAGATAACATAACTCTTTCAACCAATTTCCAGTCAGAAAATCTTTCAATCCACCTATGACCTGGAAGCTGCTGCCTTGAGTTGTCCCACCTTTTCAGGCTGAATTGACGCACACCTGACACGTATTGATTGGTATCTGTGTAACTTCTGTCACCCTAAAACGTATAAAATCAAGCTGTGGCCCGAGCACCTTGGGCCCATGTTCACAGGACCTCCTGGGGCTGTGTCGTGGGCCTTGGTCACTCATTTCACTCAGAATAAACCTTTTTAACTATGTTACACTTTAGCCCTTTTTGTCGACAGCCTCCTGTCACTTTCCCTTGAGAAGACGCTGTTTTCGAGAATACTCCCAGTACCTGCCTTTCTTGTGCCAACTAAGAACACTCCTATTCATCATAACCTGCATTCTCACGGAGGGTCGCTTGTTACTCACCAGGCAAACAAACCCTGGCTTTCCAGGTAACAGTCGGCCCTCTGTATCCACAGATTCCACCTCTGCCATTATAGAGGGCTAAGTATATGTAAAACCTGTCATTTAGAGCCATGTGATTTAAAGAAAAATATCTCACTCATGGATTTGATGGGTACTGATATGCACTTGGCTATAAGCTATTGGTGTATCCACAAGCTCATTGGAACAGAAACCCAACTATTACAACAGACCCTGAAATTTTGTGAGCTCTCAAAAATTTCTGCTCAAAAAATAGATTCTCACTTTCTGCTTAATTTTTCCGTAAATCTAAAATTTCTCTTAAAATGAAGTCTATTAATTGAAAAAATATATACTCTGGAAATGGGCAATGTTGTCTTTAAGAAAAACTTGTAGTCGGTGTGTTTGTTGTTAAGCAGTTACAAAATTTAAGTTATAGCATTTCTGATTTCGATTCTTAGAAACAAAACTAGATTTGTTTTGCTTTAGAAAGAATGTAAGGAAAGCTAATTTGTGAAGTAAGTACTTCCTAAAATGAAGATGAATTCCTGTTTAGATAAACCAGGAGAGGAAGTTAAACTGAGTGAGTGTGGGAAGAAAAAAAAAAAGATTCCTTTGAGAGATGCGCCTTTTGAGCATAATTGAAAGTGACTGAGATGTACAATAACGAGGGAACCAGGCAATAATTCATTAATGGAGCAGCAGCATTACTCTAAACAAATATTTGCTTTTACATAATTAACCAAACTAAAATGATCTGAATGGAAAAGTAGTTTACAGTAACCAAAACAGCATGGTACTGGTACCAAAACAGAGATATAGATCAATGGAACAGAACAGAGCCCTCAGAAATAACGCCGCATATCTACAACTATCTGATCTTTGACAAACCTGAGAAAAACAAGCAATGGGGAAAGGATTCCCTATTTAATAAATGGTGCTGGGAAAACTGGCTAGCCATATGTAGAAAGCTGAAACTGGATCCCTTCCTTACACCTCATACAAAAATCAATTCAAGATGGATTAAAGACTTAAACGTTAGACTTAAAACCATAAAAACCCTAGAAGAAAACCTAGGCAATACCATTCAGGACATAGGCATGGGCAAGGACTTCATGTCTAAAACACCAAAAGCAATGGCAACAAAAGACAAAATTGACAAATGGGATCTAATTAAATTAAAGAGCTTCTGTACAGCAAAAGAAACTACCATCAGAGTGATGAACAGGCAACCTACAAAATGGGAGAAAATTTTCGCAACCTACTCATCTGACAAAGGGCTAATATCCAGAATCTACAATGAACTCAAACAAATTTACAAAAAAAAAACAAACAACCCCATCAAAAAGTGGGCAAAGGACATGAACAGACACTTCTCAAAAGAAGACATTTATGCAGCCAAAAAACACATGAAAAAATGCTCATCATCACTGGCCATCAGAGAAATGCAAATCAAAACCACAATGAGATACCATCTCACACCAGTTAGAATGGCAATCATTAAAAAGTCAGGAAACAACAGGTGCTGGAGAGAATGTGGAGAAATAGGAACACTTTTACACTGTTGGTGGGACTGTAAACTAGTTCAACCATTGTGGAAGTCAGTGTGGCGATTCCTCAGAGATCTAGAACTAGAAATACCATTCGACCCAGCCATCCCATTACTGGGTATATACCCAAAGGACTGTAAATCATGCTGCTATAAAGACACATGCACACGTACGTTTATTGCGGCACTATTCACAATAGCAAAGACTTGGAACCAACCCAAATGTCCAACAATGATAGACTGGATTAAGAAAATGTGGCACATATACACCATGGAATACTATGCAGCCATAAAAAATGATGAGTTCATGTCCTTTGTAGGGACATGGATGAAATTGGAAATCATCATTCTCAGTAAACTATCACAAGAACAAAAAACCAAACACCACATATTCTCGCTCATAGGTGGGAACTGAACAATGAGATCACATGGACACAGGAAGGGGAACATCACACTCTGGGGACTGTTGTGGGGTGGGGGGAGGGGGGAGGGATAGCACTGGGAGATATACCTAATGCTAGATGACGAGTTAGTGGGTGCAGCGCACCAGCATGGCACATGTATACATATGTAACTAACCTGCACAATGTGCACAGGTACCCTAAAACTTAAAGGATAATAATAAAAGAAAAAAAAAAAGAAAAGTAGTTTGGAGTATTAACTATGTACATGATTACTCTCAAGCAGATTACAGGCATAAATGGCGGTTGTATTTCACATAACTGCACATCAATAGCTTTCAAAAGAATCTCAACCCTCCACTGACCACAGTTCAGACAGATTTTCCATTTAGATGCCTGTTTGATGCCTCAAGGCCTTAGACATTGCCAGAAATGACAAATGACAGTTGTCCTGGATATTTCTAGGAACACCAGCTATTATGCTCAGAATGTTATAATAACTCTTCTATTTATTACCTACAGCTAAAAATCTAATGATGGTTATTTTATAGTGTCTCTGGAAATTGGAAAGGTAATCATGACCTCGAACTTCTACAAACAGAGTGGGGGGAGACTTAAAAGAAAAGGGCTTGAATTATATAATTAATAAATATCAATTTTTAAGCATAAAAGCCATTGGGTTTTTTATTATTTTGGTAGTGTTAGGTACATAGCTATAAGAAGGTATCCCAAGCCCGTTTTCTCCTCCCAGTCCTGTGTCCTAAAGTTTTCCTGATGTGTCAATAGAGTGTCACTATAGCCCTGTGAATTAGTAGATATCGCTCTAATGAGATATTTACGCAGGATGAAGTTGGGAGAAAGTAAAGGAATGCCTAAGCCAGAGATCTCTGCCAAGATTCACACCAGCACCTTTCAAAACTTTGCAGCCTATGAAGAGCCAAATATTGCATAATCCAGATCATGTTTTCCAATATTGTCAATGGAAAATCCTAAAGTAAGAGATTCTCAGAATCAGAGATACTACTTCAACCCAGATTCTTGTCTCAGTGCAGGTCGTAAAGACAAACAGGCTTGACTCTGACTTGGTACTTTCTTCTAAGTTCCTAAGCTATAACATAAATATGCAATACTAGAAGGTCATAATTATTCACAATAAAATGTCAATGCATTTATTTATTAATATGCTTCATTTCAGACAGAATTAACAATCTTATTCTTCTAACATATAGCACTTAGTGAGCCCAATGAATAAACTCTTGAGAGAACCTTAATCAGACTCTGACTAAATACATGTTTTGGCAGATGTCTTAGTCCATTTTCTGCTGCTATAATGGACTGTCACCAACTTGGTAATTTATAAAGAATAGCAGTGGCTGCTGGGTGCAGTGGCTCATGCCTGTAATCCCAGCACTTTGGGAGGCCGAGGTGGGTGGATCACGAGGTCAGGAGATCAAGACTATCCTGTCTAACATGGTGAAACCCCATCTCTACTAAAAGTACAAAAAATTAGCCGGGCATGGTGGCGGGTGCCTGTAGTCCCAGCTACCGGGAGGCTGAGGCAGGAGAATGGCGTGAACCCAGGAGGTGGAGCTTGCAGTGAGCCCAGATCATGCCACTGTGCTCCATCCTGGGCAACAGTGCAAGACTCCATCTCAAAATATATAAATAAATTTAATTTAATTTAAAAAGAATAGCAATTTATTTGACTCACAGTTCTGGAGGCTAGAAAGCCTAAGAACATGGTGTCAGAATCTGGCAAGGACCTTCTTGCTGCATCAACCCATGGCAGAAGGGCAAGCAAGCACACAAAACAGAGACAGAAAATGGAGACCTAACTCCCACGACAGCTAAGCCACTCCCATGATAACGTCAATCTATTCACAAGGGCCAAGCCCTCATGACCTAATTACCCTTTAAAGGTCCCATCTCTTAATACTATCATGATGGCAATTAAATTTCAATAAGGGTTTTGGAGGAGACATTCAAACCATAGCAGCAGGTATGAGCAGGTTTAAGTCAGAAGTCCATTGCTAGCTATGACTTACTGACGGGAGCCATTGAAACAGTTAAACACCTAGGAAACTACCTTCTTTTGACTCTTCAAGACATTTTGTACCAGATTATATTGGATTATACGTAGGGTGGAAGCAGGTTTTCGCATGCCCTCACTTACAGTACATATTTCCTATGTTAGGCTCTTCTGTGAAAACTTCTTGTTAATTTTTCAAATCTGATACTTACTGAGTACCTCTACATTTTTGCACTTCTCATTTCCAGTAATCCATTTTATCTCTGATTATTTCTGTTTGTCTTGGTTACTGCAGTTTTATTGTAACCTTGCAGTCTATTTGATCTTTTCACTAATATTTCCTAGTCTTTTTTACTCATTTTCTATGAATTCTAACTCATGCTTCAGCTACTTTGGTACCCCTTTAAATTCTTCAGTTTCTAATGAGCTTTCCAAAATTCCTAAGGATAGCTAAGTAATTAAACGTTGAAAAAAGTGCCTTTAATTGTTATAAACAATCACTGTTATGTCACCTATTAAATGTAAACATTTCCATAAGTACCAGTGTAGTTTTTTCTTGATCACTGGAGACTTGCCCATTTGTGAGCTAGAGTGATCACGTGAAAACCTCAACAACTAAACCATTTCCCATTTTACGATTTTGTTTTTTGTGAAATTTTTTTAAATTATTAGATTATAAACTATATCAGACATACCAAAAAGTATAAGCATTTTATATGAAGAAATTTCATAAGAGTAGTCTCTTGTTACTCTTTTTATCATCTTACACTGAATGACCTTCTTATTTTTTCTATTTAAAAGGTTTGGGAGCCAAATGCTTTTGTGGGGGTATTAAATAAAATGTATCGGAGGCCATTGGTTTTGACTGAGCTCCTATACTAAGTCCAACAGACCAAACCAAAATGGAGTCACTCATGCTACAGGCCCACATCATCAAGACAAAACTAAGTTGTTTATCTGACCTTCCAAGAAATCAGGAGAGTGAGACATAATAGCCAAATCCCCAAACAACCCAATTTTAGCTGGTATAATAAGGAAGTCCACTCTGCTTTAATCTTTACGAGGAAAGTAACTCTGAAACAACCAGTCTACCTTTTATTTTCTATTTCTGCTTTCCTCAGCCATTTTCTGCCTACCACCACCTCTGCTCAGCAACTCAGAGCACTCATTCTATTTTGTAGGATGAGGTGTTACCTTACTCTAGAATGGCAAATAAAAACCAATTAAGGTCTCTAAATTTGTTGTAATTTTGTCTTTTGTCTTTTGATGGGGGTTAGCCACTTTTGTATCCTCTGATAATATTTTATTGTATACAACTTGTACACCTGTACACCATTCTCCTTCATTTGTTTACAAATATGGCAATTTTTTCTTCATGTCAAAAGTATCTACATCCATTGTAAAAAAAAATTTAGGTAATTTGGATGAACAGAAAAGAAGAAAAATAATATAAAAACCATACAAAATTCTACCACCTTGAGATGTTTCTTTTTTGTATATTTCCTTTTGTGTAACCAGGGAGGAGGCCTACACTGCTTATTTCTCCTTATAAAGGAATTTCCACTCATATAACTCCTGTTGCTAATGCTGCCTTATTTTGTGCCACGTGGCCCCATTCCACAAGTCACACAAATCACACTGACGATGAAAACCCTACCTATATTAGTCAAGGTTTAGTCAAGAAAACAGACACCACCCTAGACTTTTCAAACCAAATAAAGAGGAACGTTAATAAGGAAATTGGTTACACAGGAAATGGAAAAGCTGAGAAGCCAAACACAGGATGAGATGATGAGGCCACTGAGAGGTCGGCAACAGCCAAAAGCAACTGCCACCCTGGAACTAAAGGGTCAACGGGATGAGGTAGTTTCATCAGAGCACAGAAGTTGAGGCCAAACAGAAAGAGCCAGAACTAAGGAGAGGGTATTTCCCCCGCAGGAGCTGGAACCACAGAGAGAGCGTTTGGTTGGGAGGAATTGGAGACACACAAGAAAAGCTGTCACGGAAAACAGAGAAATAGGGGGCAATATCCTAGGCTTTCCCCTCCTCCCACCCTCCAGTCATCTGCTATCATCTTTCTGTGGCCAAACTTACCCAAAAGACTTCAGGCAAAGGAAATGATGGGAGGTGGGGTGGGATGGGAGCAAAGCACAGGCAACTGGCCAACAATTGTCTAAGAGTAGCCCCTGAAGTGACTGGCCACACATCACCTATGGCGTAGTCTTGCTAAAAATGTTTAAGCTGAATCTAATCATGAGGAAACAATCAGGCAAATCCATATTGAAAGACATTGTACTAAACAACCAGCCTAGACTCTCCAAAATGTCAATGTCCTAAAAGACAAAAGAGGACAGAGAACTTATCTAAATTAAATAACATTAGGGAGGCTCACGCCTGTAATCCCAACACTTTGGGAGGCAGAGGCAGGAGGATCACTTGAGCCCAGGAATTCAAGACCAGCCCGGGCAACATAGTGAGACCCCATCTCTATATACAAGAAAAATCAAAAAATGAGGCGGGAGGATCACTTGAACCCAGGAGGTCAAGGCTGCAATGAGCCATGATCAAGCCACTGCATTCCTATCTGGGCAAGGGAGTGAGATCCTCCTGTCTTTCAAAAAAACAGAATATTAGGGGGACATGGCAACTAATTTTGATGTGTGATCACAGATTAAGTATTGGATCAAAAAAGAATGGTATATAAAGGACACGACGGGGCAATTGTGGAAATATGAATATAGTTAGTACACTAGATGATAGTTGTATAGAAATGTTAAATTTCTTGAGTGTGGTAATTTGGTTGTGGTTATGTAAGAGAATGCCCTTGTTCTCAGCAGATATATGCTAAAGTATTTAAAGGTAAAATGTCATGATGTCTTCAACCAACTCCATATATATATGCTTGGAGAAAGAATGTGTGATCAAACAAATGTGGCCAACGTTAAAACTGGTGAATCTAAGTGAAGCGTCTATAGGCATTCATGGTACTGTTCTTACAACTATCCCAAAGGCATTTTTTTTTTTTTCAGATGGAGTCTTACTCTGTTGCCCAGGCTAGAGTACAGTGGCACGATCTCGGCTCATTGCAACTTCTACCCGCAGGGTTCAAGCGATTCTCCTGCCTCAGCCTCCCAAGTAGCTGGGATTACAGGCACCTGACACTGCACCCGGCTAATTTTTGTATTTTTAGTAGAGACGGGGTTTCACCATGTTGGCCAGGCTGGTCTTGAACTCCTGACCTCGTGATCCACCCGCCTTGGCCTCCCAAAGTGTTGGGATTACAGGCATGAGCCACTGGGCCCAGACCCTAAGGCTTTTCAAAATAAAAACTCAGGAAAAAAAAAAAAATAGGATGGCCTCTGACCTCCGACCACTGACACGAGGTAAAGAGATGAATTAAACCAACTGTTCTTAGGAATTTAAACCTAAACAAAAAGAATTTGCTACTTAGCAATAAAGTTGGAGGTGACAGAAAAACATGTGGAGTTCGGCTATAGCAAATTAAAATTACGTACACACCAAAATTATGAGGTGGAAGAAAAGATATGGCAAATTGTTTGCAAAAATAGTTGCCACAGATGCTTCTCATCTAGTAAGCAATTCTCCCATCATGAGATGAAATCTATGTCTCCCTGCGTTCTAGACTGGTCTTGTGACTTACTTTGACCAACAGAATGCAGAGGTGACACGGTGCCAGTTCTTGACCACGAAGAGGCTTGACATCTTGCACTTTCCTTCTCTTGGAGCCCTGAGCCACTGCATAAAGAAGACCAACTGCCCAGGAAACAACAGATGCTGGAGAGGATGTGGAGAAACAGGAACACTTTTACACTGTTGGTGGGAGTGTAATTAGTTCAATCATTGTGGAAGACAATGTGGCAATTCCTTAAGGATCCAGAACCAGAAATACCATTTGACTCAGCAATCCCATTACTGGGTATATACCCCAAAGGATTATAAATCATTCTACTATAAAGACACATGCACACCTATGTCTATTGCAGCACTAGTCACAATAGTAATGACTTGGAACCAACCCAAATGTCCATCAATGATAGACTGGATAAAGAAAATGTGGCACATATACACCATGGAATAGTATGCAGCCATAAAAAAGGATGATTTCATGTCCTTTGCAGGGACATGGATGGAGCTAGAAACCATCATTCTCAGCAAAGTAACACAGGAACAGAAAACCAAACACCGCATGTTCTCACTCATAACGGGGAGCTGAACAATGAGAACACATGGACACAGGGAGGGGAACATCACACACTGGGGCCTGTTGGGGGGTGGGGGGCTAGGGGAGGGATAGCATTAGGAGAAATACCTAATGTAGGTGACCGGTTGATGGGTGCAGCAAACCACCATGGCACGTGTATACCTATGTAACAAAACTGCACGTTCTGCACATGTACCCCAGAACTTAAAGTATAATAAAAAAATAATAAGAAGAAGACCGACTGCCTGCTGGAGAGATTGGTCTGGCCAGTCTTTTGCTGTTCTAGACACCTCTGCTGAGCCACACAGGTGAGTGAAACCACCCGGACCCTCCAGCCCCAGGCAAGGCGGCCCAGCCAACACCACATGAAACAAAACCAAGCTGTTCCTGTCAATCCCTTCCCAAAGTTCAGCATTGTAAACCAACAAATAAGTAGTGGTTGGTTTTTTTGTTTGTTTGTTTCTGTTTTCTTTTTTGGAGTCTCACTCTGTCGCCCAGGCTGGAGTGCAGTGGCGCGATCTCGGCTCACTTTGCAAGCTCCGCCTCCCAGGTTCACGCCATTCTCCTGCCTCAGCCTCCCGGTAGCTGGGACTACAGGCGCCTGCCACCACGCCCGGCTAATTTTTTGTATTTTTAGTAGAGACGGGGTCTCACCGTGTTAGCCAGGATGGTCTCGATCTCCTGACCTCGTGATCCGCCCGCCTCAGCGCCTCCCAAAGTGCTGAGATTACAGGCGTGAGCCACCGCACCCGGCCGGTTGTTATTTTAAGACAATACATTTTGGGGAGATTCGTTATACAGACAATCCCCAACCCACGATGGTTCAACTTGGTGTTTTTCAACTTTAGGATGGTGCAAAAGCAATACACATTCAGCAGAAACTGTACCTCAAATACCCATACAACCATTCTGTTTTTCACTTTCAGCATAATATTCAATAAATTACATGAGATAGGCAACACTTTATTATAAAATGGGCTGTGCGTTAGATCATTTTGCCAACTTGAGGCTAATGTAAGTGTTCTGAGCACATTTAAGGTAGGCTAGGCTAAGCTACCTTAGACTAGGTTAGGTGTATTACATGCATTTTTGACTTAACGATATTTTCAACTTACAATGGGTTTATCAGGATACAGCCCCATCATAAACAGAGGAGTGTCTGTAGAGCTAATAGAGAACAGAGCAGACAGACACACAGAGATGCCTGTAGGAAATGCTAAGTTTTACTATTCCGGTTCCTTCCGTGCGTAGGCTCAAAACAACTCCTACTCTTTTTGAGATACAGCAAAAAAAGAGCCAGAGAAAAAAAATGTCTCTTCCTGGCTGCTCTGCCTATGGAGTAGCCATTCTTTTATTCCTTCACTTTCTTAATAAATTTGCTTTCACTTTAAAAAAAATAAAATGTAGGGCCGGGCGCAGTGGCTCACGCCTGTAATCTCAGCACTTTGGGAAGCCAAGGCGGGCGGATCACGAGGTCAAGAGATGGAGACCATTCTGGCCAACACGGTGAAACCCCCAGCTCTACTAAAAACACAAAAATTAGCCAGGCGTGGTGACAGGCGCCTGTAATCCCAGCTACTTGGGAGGCTGAGGCAGGAGAATTGCTTGAACCTGGGAGGCAGAGGTTGCAGTGAGCCAAGATCGCGCCATTGCACTCCAGCCTGGGTGACAGAGCAAGACTCCGTCTCAAAAAAATAAATTAAATAAATAAATTGTCCCTTCTTATCCTTTCTCTTTGCAGGTATTTTTGTTATCCAAAGATTCAGAATAAATATCTCTTATTTCTAATTGTTTCATTGACTTCCCCTTTTATTGAGTAACAGCACCTGATTTTTTTTTGAGACAGAGTCTCGCTCTGATGCCCAGGCTGGAGTGCAGTGGCGTGATCTTGCCTCACTGCAAGCTCTGCCTCCCGGGTTCAAGCAATTTTCCTGCCTCAGCCTCCTGGGTAGCTGGGGACTACAGGTGCCCACCACCAAGCCCGGCTAATTTTTTGTATTTTTAGTAGAGAGGGGGTTTCACCATGTTAGCCAGGATGGTCTCGATCTCCTGACCTCGTGATCCGCCCTCCTTGGCCTCCCAAAGTGCCGGGATTATAGGCATGAGCCACCGCGCCCGGCCAGCACCTGATTTTTTAAATGGTTTGTTGTAAAATGCATCATACAAATAGAAGGATGGATAAAATTTGCTCGACAGAAATATTTAAAAGTAATGGCAAACGCCACAATTACTTTTGCACCAACCTAATATAATAATAAGGTAAATAATCATCTACCCAGTTTAAGGTATAAAACATAACCAGTCCTTTAGAAGCCTCTGCTTATCCCTCCCAAATTGTGGTCTCTTCTCCATCCGCAGTGATAACCACGATGATGACTTATGTTAATCATTCTCCTGTTTCCTTTACAGTTTTCCACCAATATATACATCCCTAAACAACATGACTTAGTTTTGAAACACTGAGCAGCAAGCACCAATCTAGAAGAATAAGGAAAGGGTGATGTTACCACTGTTTGAGGAAGGCTCAGGAGGAGAAGATAAACTGAACAGCCTCTCGGTCATTGTCTGGCTTCAGCTTCCCTAAGCATTTATAAGAGCTTTTTATGGGAAAATCATTGAGTAAGATGATGAGTAACACTGGGAATCACTGGGCTCAGCACAGGTGAGACATACGGTAACGCTGGAGAATGGGCCGAGTTTTAGATGTTTGGCCAGGATATAGTCAGAAGGAGATGGCTGTTGTGTATATTCTGCTCATCACGACTTCTCCTCCACTTCCCAGAAGAGGTCAAGGCAGAACATTTCTGGATGACACCCACAGTAGATCAAGCATCAGAGCACTCGAGGAATGAGCAGGAACTTTATCAGCATGTGGTCAAAATAAAGAAAGTACAAAGGAAAAATCTGGGCCAGACTCTGGGTATTGAGTCCTTGATTTAAAAGTTAGCATGATGGCAGTGGGGATGGTGGTGATGGAAGCCCTCAGTGTGTCTCTCCCTGGAGTCCTGGTGTCCCACTTCTTCAGGCTGGACTTGTTTCCTTCTGCACCTAGTGCATAACTGTCATTCTGGACTCTCCCATCACCCTTACCCTAGAGTCCCTTCACCACTCTCCTGTGTTTGATTCCTACCTGTTGTGTCCCATATGTTCTTTCTTGGCTTGTCCTCTCATTCAAGAAGCACAGCCTCCAGTAGCCCCTTAAGAAAGAACGCATGGGAAGTAAATCTTGCATATCTGAAAATGCCCTTATTTTACACTCATATTTGATTGATAATTTAGCTGGGTGCAGAATTCTAGGCTGGGAATAGTTTTTCTTAAGAATTTTGAAAAGCATTGCTCTGGTGTCTCTTGCCTCTACCATTGTTTATTGAAGCCGGCAAAGCCAAAGCTGATTCCCGATCCTTTATATTTGATCTTCGTATGTACCCTCTCCCTTGCTCTCTAAGCTTTTAAGATCTCTTGGACTTTGTTCTGAAACTCCATGATAACGTGCCTTGACAGGTCTTTTTTCATCCGTTTCTCTGGGCACTTGAAGAACCCTTTCAATCTGGAAACTCATGTCCTTCTTGAGTTTTGAGTAAACTTTTCTGTATGGTTTTATTGATGACTGCCTCTCCTACATATTCTTTTTCTCTCTTGAGCACCAATTATTCAAATATTGAACACACCGGTTTTTTTTTGTTTTTTTTTTTTTTTTGAGACAGAGTCTCCCTCTGTCGCCCAGGCTAGAGTGCAGTGGCGCGATCTCGGCTCACTGCCAGCTCCGCCTCCCAGGTTCACACCATTCTCCTGCCTCAGCCTCCCGAGTAGCTGGGACCACAGGTGCCCGCCACCACGCCCAGCTAATTTTTTTTGTATTTTTAGTAGAGACAGGGTTTCACCATGTTAGCCAGGATGGTCTCGATCTCCTAACCTCGTGATCCGCCCGTCTCGGCCTTCCAAAGTGCTGGGATTACAGGCGTGAGCCACCGCACCCGGCCTGAACACGCCAGTCTTAATCTCTAATCTTCTGTATCTTTTCTCTTCTATTGTTCATCTCCGTGTCTTCTTGGGCGATTTCCTCAAGTTTATCGTCCAACTCTTCTGTTACATTTTTCAGGTCTACTCTCTTGCTTTAATTTTTAAGGGCCCTTTTTTCTTCTCTTAAAATTATCAGGATCTTATTCTGTTCTTATAACATGGGTGCAATCTATTCTGTACCTTTCCAAGTATATTAATAGTAGACTTTTAAAGTTTTTGTATGCTTGTTTATTCTATGGGGTTGTTTTGTTTTTCTTTACTTTTGTTTTGGGCTTCATAGTCAATGTCTGAAGCAGCATCTGATTCTTCTTTGAAGAACTGCTGCCTCCCATATTCTCAATCCATGTGAGTGAATGCATCATTTGCTAATTCTTTCAACTTAAATAATAAACTTGCTTTAGTTTGGATGTTTGTCTCCTTCAAATCCCATATTGAAATTTGATCCCTAATGTTGAAGGTCGGGCCCAGTGGGAGGTATGTGGGTCATGGGGGTGGGTCCCTCATCAATAAATTAGTGCCTTCGCTCAAGGGTAAGTTCTTCCTCTGTTCATTACCGGGAGAACTGATTGTTAAAAAGAGCCTGGCACCGCCTCCACACCTTGCTTCCTCTCTCGCCATGTGATCTCCACACACGCTGGCTCCCCTTCACTTTCCACCATTAGTAGAAGCAGCCTGAGGCCCTCACCTGATGCAGATGCCAGTGCCATGCTTCTTGTAAAGCCAAAGACCCATAAGCCAAATTGGCCTCTTTTCTTTAGAAATTACCCAGCCTCAGGTATTCCTTTATAGCAATGCTAAATGGACTAAGACAATAATTAACCTGCCTGAGCTTCAGTTTCTTCATCCATAAAATGAGGATGGACACAGAATCTGTTTCACTAGGATTGCCAAGAGAATTTAGTGAAATAATACAGAGGACACAGATTATGTGTTCTTTTCTGGCTTAGGAAGGTTAAATTGCTCAAAGTTACACATCAAATCATGGGACTCAGACTCATAATCTGACACATAATCAATATTCAATAAATTTCAGCTATCATTATTATGACATAGTTCAAATGGGACTCACACCTCCTCTCAGTTAAAGAGAGGAGTACATGAGCCAGACCTGGCCAATGAGATTCAGCCCTAGGATTTTTGCTAGAATGATTTGAAAGGAAATTCTCTTGTCCTGTTAGGTTATCAAGTTGGTAAAGCACAATCCCAGAGCTGCTGGTAGCTCTCTTTAACAATGCTTTTAGAGGGTCTATCTGAAAGTAAAGCCAAACCAAGAGACGGAAACAGATTACTGATGATGAGGCTGGATGCAGCCTTACCTGAAGGCACTGTGGCCCTGGACTTTCCAGTATTATGAATCAATATCTTCCTTTTCTTTCTCTTAAGCCATTTTTAGTTGAGTTTTCATTACTTGCAACAGAAAGAATCCCTTGTAATACAAAAAAATACTGTTTTGAAACTGTGTATTTCACTGAATGTAACATTATCATATGTTCATGTTATTAAAATTATTCTTCAACATTATTTTGTGTCTGGTATTTTATTTTATGAAGTCAGTATTAGTGGACAGATACATTGTTATTAATGTTTCAATATTATAAATAACACTGAAATGAATATCCTCATAGCTAAATTTTTGTGAATATCATGATTGCTTCCTGAAAATAAATTCCTAGAGGTGGAACTTCTGGATTAAAAGTTGCATGGAATATTAAGAGTTTTGTTATATATAGTAAAATTGACCCCTTGAAAGGTGGTACCAATTTGGTTTCACACCAGAAACATATAAGAATGCCTATTTTCTCCATCCATTGCCTATAGTTGGTAGTATTTCTCTTAAAATCTCTGCCAAGTTAGTAACCTCTGCACAAAAATGGTACCTCATTTTACTTCATATTTATGTATTGAGTTATCTACCATGCACATATTTTTCATTAATTTGTGCTAGATTCAGTTGGTTACTGTTTTATTTAGGAATCCTGCATCTATATTCTGAAATTGGTTCTTCTGGTACTCTTATGTGCTCAGGGTTTTTTCTAGTTTTATACAATAAATTTTAAACACAGAAGTTTGAAGATGGAAAACCTGGGTTCGAGTCTGAATTCCACAATACGATGTGGAAGCTTGGGCAATTCAATCTTCCTTACCCTGAAGAAGAATAACGCAATGGCAAGTGAGCCACTAAACCCCCGCAGAACCTGGAAAGGCTCGGCCCTGGGAGGTTCAATGTGGAAAGGTGAGCCATAGAGCAACAATCAAGGGGGTGCCTAACAGTGTGTCATAGAGGATCAACCACCAAATCCCCTCCTACCCCACACACACAGGTGAAAAAACTGTTGTGTATACTCACCGTGGTCGTGGTTACATGAATCTATACAGGTGTTAAAATGTGTAGAACTGTATACCAAAAAGCTAATTTTACTGTATGATAATTTTAAAATAAAAAAATTTGAAGGCCAGGTGCGGTGGCTCACGCCTGTAATCCCAGCACTTTGGGAAGCCAAGGCAGGTGGATCACGAGGTCAGGAGATCGAGACCATCCTGGCCAACACGGTGAAATCCCATCTGTACTAAAAATACAAAAAATTAGCTGGGCGTGGTGGTGGGCACCTGTAGTCCCAGCTACCTGGGAGGCTGAGGCAGGAGAATGGCGTGAACCCGGGAGGCGGAGCTTGCAGTGAGCTGAGATTGTGCCACTGCACTCCAGCGTGAGACTCCAGCTCAAAAAAAAAAAAAAAAAAAAATTTAAGAGACATAAAAGGATACCAAAGGAAGGCTAGGGAACTGTTAGATTTTAATAGAGACAAGAGACCAAATACAGTATGTGGCCCTGGATTTGAACCTGGATTCAAGGCACCTAATTTGATTGACTGATTGATTGATTGATTGATGGATTGATACAGAGTCGCTCTGTCGCCCAGGATGGAGTGCAAATGGCGCACTCTCTGCTCACTGCAACCTCCGCCTCCCGGGTTCAAGCGATTCTCCTGCCTCAGCCTCACGAGTAGCTGGGACTACAAGTGCACGCCAACACGACCGGCTAATTTTTGTATTTTTAGTACAGATGGGGTTTCACTATGTTGACCAGGCTGGATGCAAACTCCTGGCCCTCAAGTGATCCACCTGCCTGGGCCTCCCAAAGGGCTGGGATCACAGGTGTGAGCCACCACACCTGGCCCAAAGTAACTAATTTTAAAAAGACATTTTTAAACATAAGTGAAAATATAAATGCATAATAACTATTAAATAATATCATGGTATTATATATTATGATATGATAAATGATATGGTAGTTATGTATGAAGGCTATGTATTTTTAAAGTCCTTATCAGTTAGAGACATATACTAAAATATTCAAAGGTGAAATGACATGATGTCTG
The DNA here is from genome assembly GCF_000001405.40 of Homo sapiens. Classification (NCBI taxonomy): domain Eukaryota; kingdom Metazoa; phylum Chordata; class Mammalia; order Primates; family Hominidae; genus Homo; species Homo sapiens. Next base: position 6,958,649 of record NC_000017.11, read on the forward strand.
GGATTTGCTTTTAAATACTCCAGAATATATATATATATAGTAAATATATGGTGTGTAACAGAATAAGAGTGGGATTTTTGTCTCTTTGTTTACTGCTGTGTCTTCAATTTCTAGAAGTTTGGGAGTTTGTGGTAGATACTTAGCAAATATTAGTTGAATGAATTAGTTGAATGAACTCCTCTTATTGCCTGTCTCACAAACTGTGACGGTACATACCTCTACGGATGTCTCTATCTCTTAGCTCAACTATCACTCCTGACTTCTCCCATGTACAGTACTGCAACTGCGCATTGATGAATCCATGTCTAAAATCCTGCTCAGATAGAAAGAAAAGTCTTCGCTGGTAAAGTTCAATAAGCAGAGTCATCACGAGTTTTCCATTTTCTTTTATAGTTTTCACTGTACATATGAGCCCATGGTAATCTGGCCCCTGACTAACTTTCCAATTACATACTCCCACTGTCTCCTTCCATGAAACCTACATCCAAGTCCCACAAAAAACTTAACTGTCCATCACAAGCACCTTGATATATTAAATTTCTCTGCCTTTGTACCTGGAGTTCCCTCTGTTTAGGATGCGATTTTCTCTTCATACATCTAGTAGTGAGTTCTGTTCATTCTTCAAAATTCAGTCCAGGAGTGAAATCAGTAACATGGCAGAATAGGATGTTCCAGCTCTCATCCCCCCATAGAAACACCAGTTAAGGCAGGCAGTGACAGATGAGAATCATTATGTGGGAGGCCTGGAGTCTGGCTGAGGTTCCAGCACCCCACTGGAGCAAATCAACCCAAGAGTGGAAGCATCGAAAAGGGTAAGAAGTGCAGTTCCACTTTACCTGCATCAGCCCTCCCCCAAGGAGGCACAGCTTGTGCTGAGAGAAGCTCCTTTGGCTTTCAATCTCTCCACAGGGGAAGGTAAAAGCATAGTCAACACCTGGCTTCCCCAGACTTGAATAACATTGCCCAGGAGGCTCACTTCTGTCTCCCTGCCCAGAATACAGATGATCAGCATGAAGAACACTGAATACAGAATACAGATGATGAGCATGAAGAACACTGAATACAGAATACAGATGATCAGCAAGAAGAACATTGCCCGGGAGGCTCACTTCTGTCTCCCTGCCCAGAATACAGATGATCAGCATGACTGATCATCTAGGAACAGGGAGAAGGGAATGGACTGCACAGCAACCAGCATGTGGTTTCAACAACCAACCACAGATTCTGCCACTTAGCTCACAGACTCCAGCAGGAGACTTGCCCACAAATCCCACCAGATGACTCACGTGAGGACCCTCCACCCAACGAGTCTATGCAACCTGCATGCCCCACCCCACCATGTATGGGGCCCAACACACCACTGTGCATGGCCCACATTAAATGCTGCAGAGAGAACATGAACATTAACAACAGGCATGGATCTTAGCAGCTGGCTCAACTCTGCTGGACTTATGGGAAAACATCAAGCAAACTAATATAAATATTATAGAAATCCCAAAAGGACCAGAGAAAGAGAAAGGGAAAGAAAGCTTATTGAAGGACATGAACAGACACTTCTCAAAAGAAGATATTTATGCAGCCAAAAAACACATGAAAAAATGCTCACCATCACTGGCCATCAGAGAAATGCAAATCAAAACCACAATGAGATACCATCTCACATCAGTTAGAATGGCAATCATTAAAAAGTCAGGAAACAACAGGTGCTGGAGAGGATGTGGAGAAATAGGAACACTTTTACACTGTTGGTGGGACTGTAAACTATTTCAACCACTGTGGAAGTCAGTGTGGCGATTCCTCAGGGATCTAGAACTAGAAATACCATTTGACCCAGCCATCCCATTACTGGGTATATACCCAAAGGACTATAAATCATGCTGCTATGAAGACACATGCACACGTATGTTTATGGCGGCACTATTCACAATAGCAAAGACTTGGAACCAACCCAAATGTCCAACAATGATAGACTGGATTAAGAAAATGGCACATATACACCACGGAATACTATGCAGCCATAAAAAATGATGAGTTCATGTCCTTTGTAGGGACATGGATGAAATTGGAAATCATCATTCTCAGTAAACTATCGCAAGAACAAAAAACCAAACACCGCATATTCTCACTCATAGGTGGGAATTGAACAATGAGAACACATGGACACAGGAAGGGGAACATCACACTCTGGGGACTGTTGTGGGTTGGGGGGAGGGGGGAGGGATAGCATTGGGAGATATACCTAATGCTAGATGACGAGTTAGTGGGTGCAGCGCACCAGCATGGCACATGTATACATATGTAACTAACCCGCACATTGTGCACATGTACCCTAAAACTTAAAGTATAATAATAATAAATAAATAAATAAATAAATAAATAAAATATAATGACAGAAAACTTTCCAAATCTGTAAAGAGAAAAAAAAAACACTCAGATCCATTAAGCCCAAAGAATTCCATATACATTGAGAATAAAGAGGTCTTCACCAAGACACATTATAATCAAATAGTCAAAAATCAAAGACAAAGAAAGAATTTTCTTCCTTTTGTTTTGTTTTAATTATTTTTTATCTCCTCAAATTCCTTTTACCAGAGAATTTTTAAAGCAGCAAAAGAAAAACAACTCAACACATACAAAGAAACCTCCACAAGATTATCAGTGGGTTTCTCACCAAAAACCCTGCAGACCAAGATAGAGTGGAATGATATACTCAAAGTGCTGGAAGAAAAAAAACTGCCAACCAAAAACATACTCAGCAAAGCCATCTTTCAAAAAGGAAAGAAAGATAAAGACCTTCCCAGACAAACCAAAACTGAGGAAGTTCATCACCCCTGGACTTGCCTTACAAGAAATATGAAAGGGAGACCTTCAAGTTGAAATGAAAGGAATATGTATCAGCAACATGAAAACATACACTCACTGATAAAGGTAAGTATATAGTCAAACTCACAATTCTCTAATACCATGATGATGGTATATAGTTCGATACACAATATAAAAAGCTGTAAATTGTGATATAAATAATATAAAATGTGGGGGGAGGAGTAAAAGTATATAGTCTTTGTATGTAATAAAAATTAAGTTGTTATCAGCTTAAAATAGACTATTACAACTACAAGATGTTTTATGTAAGCCTCGTGGTAATCACAAAAAAAATCCTGTAGTAGATACACAAAAGATAAAAAGAAAAGAATCAAAGCATACCACCACAAACAATAATAATAATAAAGCCACAAAGGAAGACAACGAGAGAGGAAGAAAGGAACTACAATTAACAAAATAGCAATAGTAAGTCCTTACCTATCAATTATTACTTTAAATGTATATAGACTAAATTCTCTCATTAAGAGGCATACAGTGGATAAACGGAATTTTTTTTTTTTTTTTTTTTGAGATGGAGTCTCGCTGTCTCACCCAGGCTGGAGTGCAGTGGCCTGATCTCAGCTCACTGCAACCTCCACCTCCCAGGTTCAAGCAATTCTCTGCCTCAGCCTCCCGAGTAGCTGGGATTACAGGCACCCACCACCATGCCCAGCTAATTTTTGTATTTTTAGTAGAGATGGGGTTTCACCATCTTGGCCAGGCTGGTGTTGAACTCCTGACCTGGTGATCCACCTGCCTTGGCCTCCCAAAGTGCTGGGATTACAGGCCTGAGCCACTGCACCGGGTCAATAAATGGACTTTTAAAAATAAGACCCAACTATATACTGTCTACAAGAGACTCACTTTAGATTTAAGGACACAAATAGCCTGAAAGTGAATGGATGAAAAACACATCCCATAAAAATGATAACCAAAGAGAGCAAAGGTGGCTATACTTACATGTGACAAAATAGACTTCAGGTCAAAAACTGTCATAAGAGACAAAGAAGGTCATTATATATACTAACAAAAGGGTCAATTCATCAGGAAGACATAAAACAGCAATACATAATAGAAGAAATCAATACCCCCACTCAACAATGGTTGGATCATCCAGACAGAAAATAAATAAGGAAACAGTGGAATTAAACACTAGATACCAAACAGATCCAATGAACATATACGTGACATTCTATCCAACAGAAGCAAAATACACATTCTTCTTAAGCCCACATGGAACATTCTCCAGGATAGATCACATGTTAAGCAACAAAATAAGTCTTAACAAATTTACGAAGATTGAAATCATATGAAATATCTTTTCCAATCACAATGAAATGAAACTAGGAATAATAGGAGGAAAATTGGAAAACTCACAAATATGCAGAAATTAAGCAACACACTCCTGAAAAACCAATGGGTCAAAGAAGAAATTAAAAGAAGAGACAAAAATATCTTGAGACAAACAAACAAACAAACAAAAACCAAAATGGGATGTATGGGATGCAGCAAAAGCAGTTATTGGAGGGAAGTTTATAGCAACAAATGATTACGTTAATAAAAGAAAAGTTCTCACATAAACAACCTAAAGTTACACCCCAAAGAAATACAAAAATAAGAACAAAGCCCAAAGTTAGCAAAAGGAATAATAAAATTTAGACCAGAAATAAATGAAATAGAGACTAGAAAAATAATAAAGAGAAATCAATGAAACAAAGAGTTGGGTTTTTGAAAAACACAAAATTGACAAACCTTTAGCTAAACTAAGAAAGAGATGAGATATAAATAAAATTATATATGAAGGATGAGTCATTCCAACTGATACCATGAAAATACAAAGGATCAGAAGAGGTTACTGTGAGCAATTATACACCAACAAATTGGGTAGCATAAAAAAATGGATAAATTCTCAGAACTTACAACCTACAAAAACTAAGTCAGGAGAAATACAAAATCTGAACAGAGCACTAACAAAGACTAGATGGCTTCACTGGTGAATTCTACAAACCTTTAAAAAGAATTAATGCCAATCTTTCTCAGTTTTTTCCAAAAATTAAAGAGGAGGGAACACTTCTAAACTGTTTCTACAAGACCAGCATTACCCTGATCCCAAAGCCAGATAAGAACACTACAAGAAAAGAAAAATACGAGACAATATCCCTGATAAACACAAATGCAAGAATCCTCAACAAAATACTAGCAAACAAAATTCAACAATCCATTAAAAGAATAATACACCATGATCAAGTTAGATTTATTCCTGGGATGCGAAAATGGTTCAAAATACACAAATCAATAAATGTGATCCATATTACAGTAACAGAATGAAGGATAAAAATGATCATCTCAATAGATACAGAAAAGCATCTGACAAAACTTAGCATCTTTTCATGATAAAATCTTTTTACAAATTAAGTACTGAACAATGTAACTCAACATAAGAAGGCCATACATGACAAGCCCACAGCTAGCATCATACTCAACAGTGAAAGTCAAGTTTTCCTCTAAGACCAGGAACAAGACAAGGATATCCATTCTCACCACTTCTATTCAACATAGTACTAGAAGGCCTAGCCAGAGCAATTAGGCAAGAAAAAGAATGAAATGGCATCCAAATAGAAAAGGAAGAAGTTAAATTGTCTCATTTGCTAACATGATCTTATATGTAGAAAACCCTAAAGATTCCACCAAAAAAACTGCTAAAACTAATAAATGAATTCAGTAAAGTTGCAGGATACAAAAACCAACCTACAGTATCAGTAGCATTTCTATACCCTGACAACGAACTATCCAAAAAAGAAATTAAGATAACAATTCCATCTACAATAACATCAGGAAGAATAAAATACTTAGGAATACACTTAAATAAGGAGGTGAAAGACCTATACACTGAAAACTATAAAACATTAATGAAATATATTGGAAAGTCACAAATAAATGGAAAGATATCTGCAGGACAGTTATTTAGGGAGGAGGTAGACTTGCACTGACTTAGTTCTTCCCCTTTCTTGCTTGTAGTTCCCAAGAATAACTATAAAATGTGCTGGGAATTCGCCATCCTGAGATAAGGAGTTGGCCAGAATAGCCCAGGCTCTATTCCAGTCTCCCCTAGAAATAAGATGTCCTTCAGTGATTTAGCCCAGTATGTCACATACCCCAGGGTATTAAAAAAAAGCCAGCCAGGTGCAGTGGCTCATACCTGTAATCCCAGCACTTTGGGAGGCCAGGAGTTTGAGACCAGCCTGGGCAACAGGGCGAAACCCCATCTTTACTAAAAATACAAAAATTAACCAGGCCTGATGGCACACTCATGTAGTCCCAGCTATACAGGAGGCTGAGGCAGGAGAATCCCTTGAACCCAGGAGGCGGAGGTTGCACTGAGCCAAGATCATGCCACTGCACTCCAGTCTGGGCAACAGAGTGAGACTCTGTCTCCAAAAAAAAAAAAAAAAAAAAGCCAGGGCAGGCTGCTTTTTTTGAGGAGGTCCCTCAGCTGCAATGCAGGTGGAGCATGCACATATGACACTCCATCCACCACAAGCAGTTTTCCAGAGACTCCGGGAATGCTTGCAATGAACACTGGGTTTCTGTTGTCCCTTGCTGCCTATCTGTAGGTAATAAATCCACTATATTTAATTTGCTGCGTATAAGTGTGTTCAGTCTTACTGGACTCAGGGAAGTTGGTAATCAGTGCACAGTAAACCTATTCCACAAAATCCCATGTCCATGAATAGGAAAAATCAATATTATCAAAATGTCTCTACTACCCAAAGTGATCTAAAGATTCGCTGCAACCCCTTTCAAAATTCCAATGGCATTTTTCACTGAAATAGAAAAAAGAAATCCTAAAACTTGTATTGAGCTACAAAAGACTTCTAATATCTAAAGAAATTGTGAGCAAAAACAAAAGAGCTGAACATAAACATTAAAAAAATGAAATTAGACCTTATTTATAACATACACAAAAGTCAACTCAAAATGGATTAAAGACTTAAATGTAAGACCTGAAATCATAAAAATGTTAGAAGAAAACATACAGGAAAGCTCTATGACATTGGTTTTGACAATAATTTGGGGGGTCCATCAAAATCCATATCCATTTTTGGATATGGTACCAAAAGCACAAGCAACAACAGCAAAAATAAATAGAATTATATCAAACTAAAAAGTTTCTACACAGCAAAGAAAACAATCAACAAAATGAAAAGGCAACCACAGAATGGGAGAAAACATTTGCATACCATGTATCTGATAAGGGGTTAATATTCCAAATGTATAAGGAACTCATACAACTCAACAGCAAAAAAAAAAAAAAAAACCTGATGTTTAAAGTGGGCAAAATACCTGAATAAACATTTTTCCAAAGGAGACATACAAATGCCCAACAGGTATATAAAAAGGTGTTGAACATCAGTCATCATCAAGGAAATGCAAATCAAAATCACAGTGAGACATAATCTCATACCTGTTAGCATGAGTATTATCAAAAATTCAAAAATAACAAATGTCGGTCAGGCGCGGTGGCTCACGCCTGTAATCCCAGCACTTTGGGAAGACGAGGTGGGCAGATTACCTGAGGTCAGGAGTTCGAGACCAGCCTGGCCAACATGGTGAAACCCCGTCTCTAGTAAAAACACAAAAATTAGCTGGGCATGGTGGCGGGTGCCTGTAGTCCCAGCTACTCAGGAAGCCGAGGCAGGAGAATCGCTTGAACCCAGGAGGCAGAGGTTGCAGTGAGCTGAGATCATGCCATTGTACTCCAGCCTGGGCAACAGAGTGAGACTCTGTCTCAAAAAAAAAAAAAAAAAAAAAAAAAAAAAAACAAGGGATGCAGGGAGGGGAAAATGAGGAAGTGGTAATTACAGAGTACGAAGCTTCAATTATGCAAGATAAATAAGTTCTGGAAATCTATTATATGGCATACCGCCTGTAGCTAACGATGCTGTATTTTGTACTTAAAATTGCTAAAAGAGTAGATTTTATGGTAAGTGTTCTTGCCAAAAAAAAAAAAGAGCCACACATCATCATCATCATCATCATCATTATCACAGAAGGGGACAGGAGGAAACTTTGGGAGATGACGATGGGTTTGATGGTAGTGTTGGTTTCACAGGCATATATTTAACTGCAAATTCATTGATATGTGATAATTAAATAGGAATAGCTTTTCATATCAATCATACCTGAATAAAAGTAGTCTAAAGACTTCAGTATTAACTTCTCATTGAAAACTCCCCTGACTCTTCCAATCTCTGTGCTCCTAGGCTTCAGTCAGGATTCTTTTTTTTTTTTTTTTTTTTTTTTTTTTTGAGATAGAGTTTTGCTCTTGTTGCCCAGGCTGGAGTGCAATGGAGCAATCTCAGCTCACCACAACCTCCGCCTCCCAGGTTCAAGTGATTCTCCTGCCTCAGCCTCCCGAGTAGCTGGGATTACAGGCGCCCACTACCACGCCCGGCTAATTTTGTATTTTTAGTACAGACGGGGTTTCTCCATGTTGGTCAGGCTGGTCTCAAACTCCCGACCTCAGGTGATCCACCCGCCTCGGCCTCCCAAAGTGCTGGGATTACAGGCATGAGCCACCGCACCTGGCCATGCCAGTCAGGATTCTTACACATTTTATTTGTGTTTTCACTGCAAGGCTTCTTTTCCCAGTAGACAGTGGGTCATAATAATAGTAGTTATTATCATACACTAAACCAGTGCTTACTAGTTACTATTCCGATCATTTCACTTGTATTGACCTTTAATTTTCGCAAAAATCATTCAGGGTAGGTACTTTTCTTCACAATTTACAAATGAAGCAACTGAGGCACAAAGATGAAATAACTTTCCCAAGATGACACATCTAGTAATAACGGAGACAGAATTGCAAACACGGGTGGTCTGGATCCATGGTCTGCGCTCTCAACAACTACTCTACGCACAACAGCTTCTCCACACAAAGTGCTGCGTGCTTGGCTGCAACCGCTGCCTAACGTCATTTTAAGGTTTGCCAAATGTATTTGTCTAAAGAATGCATTTTAAGTTGTAATACATCGATGAAAAGTCAACAAGGATTCAAGATATGTACTATATGGCTGAGTTTTAAAAGGAAAAAAAGAATAAAAAACTATAGAAAGGAGGGAAAGAGGAAGAGAAGGAAGAAGGCAAAAGAAGGATAGAGGGATAGAGAGAGGAAGATAGAAAGAAAATAAAACTGGTTTCAAAGTCACAAGAAATGACCAAAATTGAAAATTGAAATTCTACAGAATACTGAGAGACGTTGACACATAAATAAATAATAAAGAAGTACACCATGCCCATGGAGCAGAAGACTCAGTATAGTTGAGATACCAATTTTCAGCCAGGCGTGGTGGCTCATGCCTGTAATCCCAGCACTTTGGGAGGCCGAGGCGGGCGGATCACCTGAGATCAGGAGTTCAAGACCAGCCTAGCCAACATGGTGAAACCCTGTCTCTACAAAAATACAAAAATTAGCCAGGCATGTTGGCGGGTGCCTGTAATCCACTTCTTGACAGGCTGAGGCGGGAGAGTTGCTTGAACCCAGGAGGTGGAGGTTGCAGTGAGCTGAGATCACACCATTGCACTCTAGCCTGGGCAACAGAGCGAGACTCCATCTCAAAAAAAAAAAAAAAAAAAGACATCAATTCTTCCTAGACTGATTTAGGCATCAATAAAAATCAGAACCTCAGACAGCTATTTTATAGAAGGAGACAAGCAGAATTTCAAGTTTAAATAGAAAAGCAAAATATCTAGAAGATCCAAAACAATCTAGAAAAATAAGAACAAAGTTGGAAGACTGATACTATCTGACTTTCAAGACTTAGCTAACTATAAAGCTAGCTCAGTAATAGATATTAATATATGAAACGGTAATATATATTATTAGCAAGAGTGTTGGCATCAGGATAGACATATAGATCAATGGGACAGAGTCCAGAAATAGACCTACATGTATATAATTAATTGATTTTCAACAAAGGTATCAAGATAATAGAGGATAATCTTCGCAAAAGGTGCTGGAATAATCAGATATCCATAGGCAAAACAATAGAGCTCAACTTTATCTCACGCCATATAAAAATAATTCAAAATAAATAATAAACCTCAGTATATGAATTGAAGCTATAAAACTTTTTTGTTTTTTTCTGAGACAGAGTCTCACCCTCTCGCCCAGGCTGGAGTGCAGTGGTGTGATCTCGGCTCACTGCAACCTCTGCCTCCTGGGTTCAAGTGATTCTCCTGCCTCAGCCTCCCGAGTAGCTAGGATTACAGGCACCCGCCATCATGCCCAGCTAATTTTTGTATTTTTAGTAGAGACGGGGGTTTCACCATGTTGGCCAGGCTGGTCTCAAACTCCCAACCTCGTGATCTGCCCACCTCGGCTTCCCAAAGCTATAAAACTTTTAGACAAAAAACATAGGAGAGTAATGTTGTGACTTTGGCTGAAGCAAAGTTTTCTTAAATAAGACACAAAAATACAAGCAACAAAAGAAAAAAAGAACAAACTTCATCAAAATTTAAAACTTGTTGTCTTCAAAAGACACAGTTAAAACAATGAAAATTTCAAGTCCAACAAATCTTTCTTTTTAAAAAGACTACAAAAACACAAGGCACAGACTGAGAGAAAAAGATTTGTAAAACACGTATCTAATGAAAGATTGTATTCAGAATATATAAAGAACTTCTACAACTTCATAACAAGAAGGCGACCCAATAAAAAGAGGCCAAATTTGTTAACAGACACTTCACTGAATAAGCTATATGAATAGCAAATACGTACATGAAAAGATGTTCAACATCATCAGTCACCAGAGAAACGCAAATTAAAACTAGAATGACTAAAACTTAAAAGACTATTAAAACCAAACATTGGTGAGGTTGTAGAGCAACTGGAACATTGCTGGTAGGAAAGTAAAATGGTACAACTCCTGTGAAAAACAGTTTGACAATTTCTCATAAAGTTACACACACAATTACCACATGACTCAGCAATTCCACTCCTAGGTGTTTACCCAAGAGAAGTGAAAACAGTCCACACAAAGACCCGACAACATATATTCATAACAGCATTAAATTACGTTCAAAGCAGCACTGTTTCCTAAAGCCAAAAGCTGGAAACAATCCAAATGTTTGTCAACAGGTTGATGAAACGGATGATCAAATTGTGACATTTCTATACAATGAAATATTGCTCAGCTATAAAAAGGAATGAATTTAAGATTAAATGGAGGCACTTCTTCCTATACTTCCCACTAAGTATAGCTAAAACCATGGATATTATAGATAAAACAAACACTAAAAGGCTCTTGAAGGTGGAGAGAAGACAGAACAATTGGAAGCCTTGGGACCTTGGGAATGGCATGGCAGTGAGTTCTCTGGGTTTTCTTTTCTTCCTCATATATCTGGAACTGGATGCTGGAGAAACCACTGGAAAGACCAATGGGCGCAAACGAAAAAAATAAAATAAAATCCCCAAGAAAGCCTGGTCTCTCTGGCCAAAAGACCAGGAAAGGACTAATTTGGCAAGACAGAAAACTTTTAGACAAAAATCACACTATCCTTGCCAAACATCATGGAAAGAACCACAACCCTGTTGCCATCCCATTAGCAAATGCTGAGTGGCAGCCTGGATTTCTACCCTTACCTGGCTGGGACAAGGCACACTTAAAATTCCCCTGCTGGGCCAGGCGTGGTGGCTTACACCTGTAATCCCAGCATTTTGGGAGGCTGAAGGGGGCAGATCACTTGAGGTCAGGAGTTCAAGACCAGCCTGGCCAACATGGTGAAGCCCCATCTCTACTAAAAGTACAAAAAAATTAGCCGACCATGATGGTGCACGCTTGTAATCCCAGCTACACAGGAGGCTGAGGCAGCAGAATCGCTTGAACTAGGGAGGCGAAGGTTTCAGTGAGCTGAGATTACACTATTGCACTCCAGTCTGGGTGACAGGCCGAAACTTTGTCTCAAAAAAAAAAAAAAAAAAAAAAAAAAGGTTTCAATGAGCAATTATAAACACACTTGAAACAAATAGAAAATGAAAAATATCAGCTGAGAAATAAAAAATTTAAAAAGAACCAAATGGAAATTTTAGAACTGAAAAATAGAATAACCAAGATAAAAAGCTCAATATATGGGCTTACTAGCGAATGGGGGAAACAGAGGAAAAATTAACGAAATGCAAGACAGAATAGAAATTGCCCAATCTGAACAACAGAAAGAAAATGGGCAGAAAAACAAAATAAAATAAAATAAAAAGAATCTCAGGGACCTGAGGGGCTACAACAGAGGATCCAGCAATCACATCACTTTAGTCACAAAAGGAAAGGAGACAGGGGGTGGAGCTGAAAAAATATTCAAAAAAATGATAGATGAAATGTCCCCAAATTTGGCAAAAGATCTAAACCTACCTTAGCAAACCCCAAACAGAGTAAACTCAAAGAAATCTATGCCAAAGACACATCATAATCAAATTTCTGAAAACTAAAGACAAAGAAAACATTTCTGAAAACAATGGGAGAGACAGACAACATTATACCTTCAGGAAGAAATAATTTGAGTGACAGCAGATTTCTCATCAGCAATCACAGAGGCCACAAGGAAGTAGAACAGCCTTTTTTAAATACAGTCACACATCACTTAACCACAGGGATACATTCTGAGATGTACATCACTCTGAGAAATGCATCACTAGCCAATTTCAGTGTTGTGCATACATCATGGAGTGCACTTAAACCTAGACGGTATAACCCACTACACACCTAGACTATATAGTATAGTCCATTGCTCAAACAACCTGCACAACACGTTACTATACTGAATATTGTAGGCAACTGCAACACAATTGTAAGTATTTGTGTATCTCAACACAGAAAATGTACAGTAAAAGTATGGTATTAAAGATTCAGGCCGGGCGCGGTGGCTCACGCCTGTAATCCCAGCACTTTGGGAGGCCGAGGCGGGCGGATCACGAGGTCAGGAGATCGAGACCATCCTCGCTAACACGGTGAAACCCCGTCTCTACTAAAAATACAAAAAATTAGCCGGGCGAGGTGGCGGGCGCCTGTAGTCCCAGCTACTCGGGAGGCTGAGGCAGGAGAATGGCGTGAACCCAGGAGGCGGAGCCTGCAGTGAGCCGGGATTGCGCCACTGCACTCCAGCCTGGGCGACAGCGAGACTCCGTCTCAAAAAAAAAAAAAAAAAGGTTCAAAATGGCATACCTGTACAGGGCACTGACCATGAATGGAACTTGCAGAACTGGAAGTTGCTGCAGATGGGTCAGTGAGTGAGTGGTGAGGGAACGTGAAGACCCAGGGCATTGCTGGACACTCCTGTAGACTTTATAAACATTGTACATCTCCCCTACACTAAATTTATCTTTAAAAACTTCTTTTGGCCAGGCACGGTGGCTCACACCGTAATCCCAGCACTTTGGGAGCCCAAGGCGGGCAGATCATGAGGTCAGGAGCTCGAGACCAACCTGACTAACATGCTGAAACCCCGTCTCTACTAAAAATACAAAATGTAGCCAGGCGTGGTGGTGCCCGCCTGTAATCCCAGCTACTCAGAGGCTGAGGCAGGAGAATCACTTGAACCCGGGAGGCGGAGATTGCAGTGAGTCAAGATCGCGCATTGCGCCACTGCACTCCAGCCTGGGTGACAGAGTGAGACTCTGTCTCAAAAGAAAACAAAAAAACTTCTTTCTTCAATAATAAATTAACTTTAGCTTACTATAATTTTTTTACTTTATAAACTCTTTAATTCTTTTTAACTTTTTGACTCATTTGTAGTAATGCTTAGCTTAAAACACAAACATATTTTACACTTGTACGAATTTTTTCTTTATATCCTAATTTCACAAGCTTTTTTCTATTTAAAATTTTTTTTACATTTATTTATTTATTTATTCATTCATTTATTTATTTTTCAGACGGAATCTCACTCTGTCGCCCAGGCTGGAGTACAGTGGCACAATCTCGGCTCACCACAACCTCTGCCTCCCAGGGTCAAGTGATTCTCCTGCCTCAGCCTCCCAAATAGCTGGGATTACAGGCGCCCTCCACCACACCCAGCTCATTTTTGTATTTTTAGTAGAGACAGAGTTTCACCATGTTGGCCAGGCTGGTCTTGAACTCCTGACCTCAGGTGATGCACAAGCCTTGGCCTCCAAAAGTACTGGGATTACAGGAGTGAACTACTGCACCCACTGCACCCAGCCCTTTTTTTTTTTCAATTTTTATTTTAGATTTGGGGATACATATGCAGGTTTCTTTCTTTTTTTTTTTTTTTGAGACAGAGTCTGGCTCTGTCGCCAGGCTGGAGTGCAGTTGCCCGATCTCAGCCTCAGCTCAATGCAACCTCTGCCTCCCGGGTTCAATCGATTCTGCTGCCTCAGCCTCCCGAGTACCTGAGATTATAGGCGCCTGTCACCACGCCCGGCTAATTTTTGTATTTTTAGTAGAGACGGGGTTTCACCATGTTGGCCAGGCTAGTCTCGAACTCCTGACCTCAGGTGATCCACCTGCCTTGGCCACCCAAAGTGTTGGGATTATAGGCACGAGCCACCGCACCCAGCCTACATGTGCAGCCACCTGAGTAGGTGGGATTACAGGTGTGCACCACCATGCCCAGCTAATTTTTGTATTTTTAGTAGAGATGGGGTTTCACCATGTTGGTCAGGCTGGTCTCGAACTCCTGACCGTGTGATCCACCCGCCTTGGCCTCCCAAAATGCTGGGATTACAGGCGTGAGCCACCATGCCCAGCCAAGAAATTGTTTTAGGTAATGAATTACTGATAGCCACAAAAAAGTGAATAAATTACAAAGACATGATGCTGAGTGGATAAAGCCAGATACAGAAGAGTATATTATATATAATTCTACTTATATACAACTTTAGAAAAGACAAATCTGTAGTGACAGAAAGCAGACCAGCTGTTTCCTGGAGCCAGGGAGACTGACTGGTATGAGCACAAAAGAACATTTAAGGTGATGAAAATGTTCCCTAGTGATGGATACATGGGTGTGTACATTTGCTGAAACTTGGAAACGCACATTTGAAATGAATACATTGTATTGTACATGAGCTCTACCTCAAATACACTTGATTTAAAATCCCTTTACAAAACATTAGAAAGATAATCAAATTATATCATTTTATGAAAAAGAAAAGAACAAAATAATTTAAGATACAGTAAAATATTTAACTGTATATTTTTTGTTACAAAATACGGCATATTTGGCCATTTGGGTTTAAGATGATTGAGAAGGTCCAATCCAATTGTAAGACATATCCTACACATATGCAAAAGCCTTACTAACATTGATACTTTGTATAAAACAAAGTCATATATTGTGCATCCTCATATTATCCTCAAAATCTGATAGGTGGAACCTTAACGGCCTATTTTCACTGATCAATCACTTCACTGGCTGTGCAGAAGTGTATCCCACTATAAACCAGAAAGCAACCACAGTTGTATAGATATAATAAGAGGGAAATGCTGCTTCAATAGAGGAGTTTCTTGATATAGTGTACTCAGATTACAGGAGACTGAGATCCAGCTACTGCTTGAAATATTTTACTTAGCCGTTATACAAGAGTACAGGGTCACCACAAATAACCCCAAAGAGAACCCCAAACCTAAACATTTTTAAACAAATTTCAAAACGTTGGTGATAAATTCTCTGTACTATCTTTGCAATTTTCCTGTAAATCTAAAACCATTCTAAAATTTAAAGTTTATTTTTTAAAGCTATTGTTTTATAAAATAAATCACAGAATATTTTTTAATGTTGATAACACCATGGCATGAGCGGGTGGTGTGACATTTCTGAATCACACATCAGTGGAATCTTGATGTCACCGATTTTACATGTTACTTTTTGAGGTTAGGTGGAGACTGCAAGTCCTCACAGATTAATGCTGTAAAGTAGATTTATGAAAGGGAGACTTTAAAAACCCCACCCAAGACGCACTCCCAAAAAAAGTATTGCTGCTGCTTGCAAAAACACCTCCAGATACCAGAAACCACTGAAAAGATAATAAATATTACTATAAAATTAACACAAACTAGAGCCAAGCGTGGTGGCTCACGCCTGTAATCCCAGCACTTTGGGAGGTCGAGGTGGGTGGATCACCTCAGGTCAGGAGTTCGAGGCCAGCCTGGCCAACATGGTGAAACCCTGTCTCTGCTAAAAATACAAAAATTAGCCAGGTGTGGTGGTGGGCGCCTGTAATCCCGGCTACTCAGGAGGCTGAGGCAGGAGAATCACTTGAACCTGGAAGGCGGAGGTTGCAGTGAGCCGAGATCACGCCATTGTACTCCAGCCTGAGCGACAGAGCGAGACTCCATTTCAAAAAAAAACATTAACACAAACTAGCTGGCCAGTGGTAGGGTGATCTCTACATAATGATAGAGAAATTTGGAAGATTATCCGTGTGAAAATACAAGTTGAATAGGAGATGCCAAATCAAGGTGGCTGACTTTAAAGGACCTCCTCTGGGAGCTGGTGGACAGAACTGTCGATATGATTTGAATATCCGGCCCCTCCAAATCTCATGCTGAAATGTGACCCCCAGTGTTGGAGGTGGGCCTACTGGGAGGTGTTTGGGTCATAGGCGCAGATCCCTAGTGAATGGCTTGGTGCCATCCTTGAAGTAATGAGTGGTAATGAGTTCATACAAGATCTGGTTGTTTCAAAGCTTGTGATACCTTCTTGCTCACTCTCTCTTGCTTGCTCTCTTGCCATATGACATGCC
Organism: Homo sapiens; assembly: GCF_000001405.40. Lineage (NCBI taxonomy): Eukaryota > Metazoa > Chordata > Mammalia > Primates > Hominidae > Homo > Homo sapiens. The sequence continues at coordinate 6,975,273 of NC_000017.11, forward strand.
TGCTCTCCCTTTGCCTTCCAACATGATTGGAAGCTTCCTGAGGCCCTCACCAAAAGCAGAAGCTGGCACTATGCTTCTTACACAGCCTGCAGAACTGTGAGCCAAATAAACCTCTTTTGTTTATAAATTACCCAGCCTCAGGTATTCCCTAATAGCAACACAAAGCAGACTAATGCTAACACAACTGTCTTCTATCCCTCCTAAGATTAATAGGCAGGAACCAAGATAATAATAATAAAATAATAATAATAATAATAATAATAATAATAATAATAAATTATCCAGAAAAAAAGGGGATGACTACTTCCAACTACATGAAAAATTTTAAAAGAAATATTAAATAGTGAGTCAACATGAAACTATAAGGCCATCACTAGGCAGTCTTCTCATACTCAAATGCATTGACCTTTATCCTGGCTGACTCACCCATAGAAATATGAAAAAAAAACCTAGGAGATGCCAACTTCCCACCCCTGAGGGTTGAAGGTCCCAGCAATTTCGAGAAAATATCCCCACAAAAAGGACCCAGTGGCTGGGCGCGGTGGCTCACGCCTGTAATCCCAGCACTTTGGGAGGCCGAGGTGGGCGGATCACCTGAGGTCGGGAGTTCAAACCAGCCTGACCAACATGGAGAAACCCCATCTCTACTAAAAATACAAAAAAAAAAAATTAGCCAGGCATGGTGGTGCATGCCTGTAATCCCAGCTACTCGGGAGGCTGAGGCAGGAGAATCATTTGAACCTGGGAGGTGGAAGTTGCAGTGAGCTGAGATGCCACCATTGCACTCTAGCCTGGGCAACAAGAGCATAACTCTGTCTCAAAAAAAAAAAAAAAAAAAAAACCCAGGTATGAGGATAGCAAGAAATTCACTCCACATGCAAACTCACTTGCACAAATCCTGGACTGCCAGGAAGAACGCCACTCACAGGCTGGTACATTGTTTGAAGTCAGTAGTTTTTTAGCCACAGTCTACAGCTGCCCAGGTGCTCCAGCCTAGAGACCGTACCTCTGCCTCACCTCTGGCCTTACTCAGGACTCTTTTGTCTACGTGTAACAGAAAGTGAATTCAAAGTGGCTTTTAAAAATAGGCATTTTTAGGCTGGTGCAGTGGCTTACACCTGTAATCCCAGCTGTCTGGGAGGCCAAGGTGGGTGGATCACCTGAGGTCAGGTGTTCGAGACCAACCTGGCCAACATGGCGAAACCCTGTCTTTACTAAAAATACAAAATTAGCCGGGCAGGGTAGCACATGCCTATAATCCCAGCTACTCAGGAGGCTGAGGCAGGGGAATCACCTGAACCAGGGAGGCGGAGGTTGCAGTGAGCCAAGGTTGCACCACTGCACTCCAGCCTGGGCAACAAGAGTGAAACTCCATCTCAAAAAAATAAAAAATACCAAAATAAAATAAAATAGGCATTCTTGTCTCACCTAAGTTGGAGGGAAACAGAAAAAAAGAACAATAAAAATAAAAGGAAATTATTGGTTCCTATAACATAAAAGGTCAGGGTTAGTCTGACCTCAGGCATGGCTGCATCAGGGGGTTCAAAGAATATCATCAGGACGAAGGCTCACTCTCTTGCTCCCTCTCCGTGACCTCAATTTGCTTTCCTGTCTGTTGGCTTTATTCTCTGACAGGCTTTCTCCAAGAGGGTCACTGGAGTCAACAGGCCTGTAGTCTACCAGCTTGGCAGCCACCATGGAAACACAAAGATTTCATTCTATTTCCATCAAAGCCCCAGAAAAAGCCTCGTTAGCTCTGATTAGCCCATCTTGGACCATATGTCCATCTTTGAACCAATCACTGTCCAAGAAGATGTGATACTCTCATTGACCAGTGTTCAATGGGGACCTACTCTCCTAGCAGTAGACTAGCAGAAAAATAGTAGGACACCCTGAGATTCACCGGAAATATCATATGTGAGTAAAAGCAACAACAGCCAAAGAGAACAGGAATCTCTGGCTGACTGAGCAGGTTTTCAGGCTTTGTTCTTCCAAAGATAATAAGAAGTGCTAACCCATAAAACTTAACAAGCCTCTCTAAGGAATCCGGAGTTGTTATGAGTTATTATATGTAAAAAGCACTTAGAAAAATGTCTGGCCCAAAGTAAGTACTGTAGAGCTGTTAGCGAACATCACGGAAGAAGGATCCTGGAGAATGGAAAAGAACATATTCTAGTAGTCAGGGTGGAGGCACAGAATTGTTTAAATATTAAAAGGAGTGTAACCTAATTTTGTAACAAACTGGTGAAGCAGGATATATGAGTTAAACTACTTTTTGCTTCTTTGATTCATAATTTGAGAATGACAAAACTGTTTTAAAATAAATCTTTTCCGTCACCAACGCAAGGGGATTTGATGTAAAATAAAATATCTGGCCAGGTGCGGTGGCTCATGCCTGTAATCCCAGCACTTTGGGAGGCTGAGGCGGAAGGATCCCTTGAGTCCAGGAGTTGGAGACCAGCCTGGGTAACCATAGGTTGACCCCATCTCTACAAAAATAAGAAAATTAGCTGAGCGTGGTGATGCCTGCCTATGGTTTCAGCTACTTGGGAGGCTAAGCCAGGAAGATCACTTGAGGCCAGGAGATTGAGGCTGCAGTGAGCTATGATCACATCACCACACTCCAGCCTAGGTGACAGAGTGAGACCCTGTCTCAAAAAAAAAAAAAAAAGGAGAAGAAGAACAAAATATCCAATACTGGTTATAAGATGATGAACTAATAGATACTGCAGTCTACCCTTCTACACCAAATTCTAACCACACAAACAACAGAAGCATATTATTAATAAATTAATAATTATGCTCAAAAACCAGAAATGCTTGCTGGACTGGGGAGAGAGAACATGCTGAAAGACAGAAATCATACTGAGGTAGGAGGCAGGTGGGACTCGTCTCCAGACCAGATTGAAACTGACTGAAGGCCGGGCATGGTGGCTCACGCCTGTAATCCCAGCACTTTGGGAGGCCGAGGTGGGCAGATCACCTGAGGTCAGGAGTTCGAGACCAGCCTGGCCAATATGGTGAAACCCTGTGTCTACTAAAAATACAAAAATGAGACAGGCGTGGTGGTTCATGCCTGTAATCCGAGCTACTCAGGAGGCTGAGCGAGGAGAATCACTTGAATCCAAGAGGCGGAGGTTGCAGTGGGCCAAGACCGCACCACTACACTCCAGTCGGAGCGACGGAGAGAGTCCATCTCAAAAAAAAAAAAAAAAAGACAAAACAAAACTGACCGAAACCAGTAGAGGGGCTGAAAGAACCTCTCACTGCCCATCACCGTAAGACACTCCTATCAGCACCATGACAATGTACCATTGCCACAGCAACACCCAGAAGTTACTGCCCATTTCCTAGCTATTCCTGAATAACGTGCCCCTTTAATTAGCATGTCACTAAAAGTGGGCATAAATATGGCTGCACACCACCCTGCACTGTCCTCTCGGATTGCCTCCGCTGTAGTCCTGCTCCCCGGGAGCGGTCACAGAGCTGTGACACAGCCGCCTCCTCAGTAAAGTTGTTTTCTTCCAGCACTGGCTTGCTCTTGAATTCTTTCCCGAGCAAAGCCAAGATCCTGCCCTTCATCAATACTAGGTTAGATGGAAAGGGGAACTGTAGCCTACAGTACCTGCAGGAATACATAGAAGACTTCTCCCTCAGGAGGAAGCAAGAGCATGCCCTGAGGCGTGGTAACCACAGGAAGCACTCCACAGGGAGTATGGAGCCGTCACACCCAGCACACACGCCTCCCATACACCTCACAAGCAGCCCAACCCACCCACTCCCAACTTTCAGGGAAAACAAATACCTATCGGCCGGGCGCGGTGGCTCACGCCTGTAATCCCAGCACTTTGTGGGGCCAAGGAGGGCAGATCACGAGGTCAGGGATCGAGACCATCCTGGCTAACATGGTGAAACCTCGTCTCTACTAAAAAATACAAAAAATTAGCCAGGCGTGGTGGCAGGCACCTGTAGTCCCAGCTACTCAGGAGGCTGAGGCAGGAGAATGGCGTGAACCTAGGAGGCGGAGCTTGCAGTGAGCTGAATGGCGTCACTGCACTCCATCATGGGCGACAGAGCGAGACTCCATCTCAAAAAAAAAAGAAAGAAAATAAATACCTATCAACCCATTGCCTAGGTATTATGCCCAGCAATGCATTTGCTCTTTTTCCTAATGCTCTCCCCGCAACCTCCGCCCTCTCCTGACAGGCCCCAATGTGTGTTGTTCCCGTCCCTGTGTCCACATGTTCTCACTATTGAGCTTCCACTTACAAGTGACAACATGCGATGTTTGGTTTTCTCTTCCTGAGTTAGTTTGCTGAGGATAATGGTTTCCAGCTTCATCTGTGTCCCTGCAAAGGACATGATCTTGTTCCTTTTTATGGCTGCATAGTATTCCGTGGTGTATATACCACAGTTTCTTTATCCAGTCTATCATTGATGGGCATTTGGGTTGACTCCATGTCTTTGCTATTGTGAACAGTGCTGCAATGAACATATGTGTGTATGTATCTTTATAGCAGAATGATTTATATTCCTTTGGGAATATACTCAGTAATGGGATTGGTGGGTCAAATGGTATTTCTGGTTCTAAACCTTTGAGGAATCACCACACTGTCTTCCACAATAGTTTAACTAATTTACATTCCCACCAACAGTGTAAAAGCATTCCTATTTCTCCGCAACCTCACCAGCATTTGTTCTTAACTTTTAAATAATCACCATTATGACATGGCACACATTTGCCCATGTAACAAACCTGCACATCCTGCACATGTACCCCAGAAACTCAAATAACTTAATTTAATTTTTTTAAAAAAGAAAATAAATACAAGGTGTAACCCTGACAGCAGTGGCAGCACCCTCTCCCCAACTGAGCTGTGAAAGCCAAGACAGCAGACAGTCTAGTAAATAACATCAACTGTAAACAGCTGTGCCCCAAAAAAAGGCTCACCAAACAGTTGAGAAGTTCCTAACACCATAAGAGAGAAACAAAGTCAAAAAATTGGAGGAACTTACACCCAATAAATTAATAAGGTATCAGGATATGACTTTAAAAATAAGTATAATGAATATCTTCCAAGAGGTAAGTGTGGGTAGTATAATCATGAAACAAGAACTGGAAGTTACTAAATGAAGCAATTAGTGATCTTCAAAGTAAAAAATGATAACTGTTGAAATTTGGCCAGGCACGGTGGCTCACGCCTGTAATCCCAGCACTTTGGGAAGCCGAGGCGGGCGGATCACGAGGTCAGGAGATCGCGACCATCCTGGTTAACACGGTGAAACCCTGTCTTTGCTAAAAATACAAAAAATTAGCCAGACGTGGTGGCGGGCGCCTGTAGTCCCAGCTACTCGTGAGGCTGAGGCAGGAGAATGGCGTGAACTGGAAGGCAGAGCTTGCAGTGAGCCGAGATCACACCACTGCACTCCAGCCTGGGCAACAGAACAAGACTCCGTCTCAAAAAAAAAAAAAAAAGATAACTGTTGAAATTAAAACTCAATGGCAGGATGGACAGAGCTGAAGAGCCAACTTGTGAATTGGAGGACTCAGCTAAGGAGTTCTCTGAAAGTGCACCACATAGAATAAGGCTTTGTAATGTGAGGAAGAAACATTGAAAAACATGGAGAACAGGTCCAGAAGTTCTAATCAGCTTCCAACAGTTCAAAAAGGAGGGACTAGAAAAATGGGGGGAAGGCACTATTTAAAGAAATAATGTTTTGCAGTTAATCATGAAGGAATGAACAAATGCTCCCTTCTTCACTCTCCTCCCTCCCCACTAAAATGCCAGTTGATGGGTTAAAAAGGAAGACATAAGCCCACCAATACAAAGAGAGTTGCAAAGATACACAAGTATATGAGAAATGGCATCTGGCTGGGCGCGGTGGCTCATGCCTGTAATCCCAGCACTTTGGGAGGCCGAGGCGGGTGGATCACCTGAGTTCAGGAGTTCGAGACCAGCCTGGCCAACAATGGAGAAACCGTGTCTCTACTGAAAATACAAAATTAGCCAGGCGTGGTGGCACATGCCTGTAATCCCACCTACTTGGGAGGCTGAGGCAGGAGAATGGCTTGAACCCAGGAGGCGGAGGTTACAATGAGCCGAGATCACACCATTGCATCCCAGCCTGGGCAACAAGAGCGAAACTCCGTCTCAAGAAAAAAAAAAAAAAAGAAAGAAAGAAAGAAATGGCATCTATATTTTGGAAGCTGAAAGCAGATAAACAAGGGGTAATCAATTCAGCAGACCAGGGAAAGTTAAAAGTCAAATGCTTGCAGTATGTAGGAAAAGCAATAAGCACAAACCCTTAGAAAGACTCAGGAAGGGGAGTACAGCCGTTTCCCCTCATCTGTGGTTTTGCTTTCCCTGGTTTCTGTTTCCTGCAGTCAGCCACAGCCCAAAAATAGGTGAGCACAGCACAATCAGATATTTTGAGAAAGGCCACATTCACCCAACTTTTATTATAGTTAGATTGTCACAATTGTTCTATTATATTCTATTTTATTCTATTTTATATTAGTTGTTGTTGCTCCCCTCTTTTTTCAGTTTTCTTTTTTGCTTCTTTTTTTTTTTTTTTTTTTTTTTTTTGAGATGGAGTCTCGCTCTGTCACCCAGGCTGGAGTGCAATGGCATGATCTCGCTCACTGCAACCTCCACCTCCAGGGTTCAAGCGATTCTCCAGCCTCAGCCTCCCAGGTAGCTGGGACTACAGGTGCCCGCCACCATGCCCAGCTAATTATTTTTATAGTTTTTTCTTTATTTTTAATTTGCATTTATATTTGTTTATTCCTAATGTTCTTAATCTCTTACTAGGCCTAATTGATATATTAAACCTTGTCATAGAGATGTATGTACGATATAGGAAAAAATCTAGTACTGTATCCCTCAGTATCCAGGCGGAGACTGTTTCAGGACCTCCTACAGTCTAAGACAAGTCCCCCCTCTCTTGTACCAAAATCCTCAGATGCTGAATCCTCAAATGCTGTATAAAATGGTGCAGTATTTGCATTTAACTTATACACATCATCCCATACACTTTAAACCATCTCTAGATTACTTATAATACCGAATATGATGTAAATGCTATATGGAAAGTTGTAATACTATATTATTTGGGAAATAATGACAGGAAAAATTCAAAAATTTTGAATTCTGGTCAGTGCAGATGCAAATTTTTTCTAATATTTTCGATACACGGTGGGTTGGGATCTATGGGTTCTGCCCCCATGGATAAGGAGGGCTGACTGTATCTATAGATTTGGTATGTCTATGGCTTCAGGCATCCACTGGGGATCTTGGAAGTTAGAAGGTCTCCCCACTAGAAAAAGGGGGCTACTGTACCAATAACTACTGAAGGTAGGGGTACACATGAGGCTGAACACAGTAGAATTGATTGAAAGTCTACATAAAGGCCAGGCGCGGTGGCTCACGCCTGTAATCCCAGCACTTTGGGAGGTCAAGGCGGGTGGATTGCCTGAGGTCAGGAGTTTGAGACCAGCCTGGCCAACATGGTGAAACTCTGTCTGTACTTAAAATACCAAAAATTAGCTGGGCGTGGTGGCGAGCACCTGTAATCCCGGCTACTCGGGAGGCTGCGGAAGGAAAATTGCTTGAACCCAGGAGGCAGAGGTTGCAGTTAGCAGAGATCGCACCACTGCACTACAGCCTGGGGGACAAGAGCAAGACTTCGTCTCAAAAAAACAAACAAACAAAAGAAAGTCCATATAAAAAGCAAATGGCCCCCATATTCCTTTATCATCCACTAAGTCAGGCAATTCTCCCTCCTCTCCAGCAGAAGACTAGAAGTTTATCGTCTGCTAGAGCAGAGGGGGACGCTGGACTTCGGACATCAGGTAAATGTGCCCTGTGGAACAAAAGAAAATGTAACAAAAGCAACACACTGAATGGTGACTCCCCAGTCCTCTTCAAATACTGCCAATAATGCTGATGGTTGGGCATCTACACCCCAAAAGGGAAATTAGAAGGTTGGTCTCCGAAGAAACCAAGCATCCCAATAGAAAAGACCTACAAATACTGACTGTGGGAGGAACCGTGTCAATTATCAATTGACCAGATCTCTGCTCATTACATTGAAAAACCCCACCAACAGTCCGGATTATCTTTTTTTATTGCCTCACTCTTAAATAAAGTCAAGGATCAGGGGCCGGGAGCGGTGGCTCACGCCGGTAATCCCAGCACTTTGGGAGGCTGAGGCGGGTGGATCATTTGAGGTCAGGAGTTCGAGACCAGCCTGGCCACCATGGTGAAACCCCGTCTCTACTAAAAATACAAAATTAGCTGGGCGTGGTAGCACATGCCTGTAATCCCAGCTGAGGCAGGAGAACTGCTTGAACTCAGGAGATGGAGGTTGCAGTGAGCCGAGATCGCGCCCCTGCACTCTAGCCTGGCAACAGAGCCAGTCTCAAAAAAAAAAAAAAATCAAGGATCAACAGATATTTAAAAAGAGGGACTCAGAGAAAATAGGAATAATGAAGAAACAGATTTTTTAAACTATATTTACTATGTTCAGAAATACTAGAGAAGATTAGCATCTTTGAAACAAAAGCAGGATGTTTTCTGAAAGCAACAATCACAGAACAAGACAGAAAATGTTCAATAGCAAAAAAAAGTTTTAATTCAATAGAAGAGGTGGAAATTTCCAAGAAAGTGGTAAAAAAAAAAAAGAGAGAGAGAGAGAGAGGTGGAGATTATTAGAGACAATGACAATATAGGAAGTCTTTTTTTTTTTAATGGAGTCTCTTTCTGTAGCCCAGGCAGGAGTGCAGTGGCACCATCTCAGCTCACTGCAACCTCCACCTCCCGGGTTCAAGCGATTCTCCTGCCTCAGCCTCCCAAGTAGCTGGGATTACGGGGGCCCACCACCGCGCCTGGCTAATTTTTGTAGTTTTTAGTAGAGACGGGGTTTCACCATCTTGGCCAGGCTGATCTTGAACTCCTGACCTCGTGATCCACCCGCCTTGGCCTCCCAAAGTGCTGGGATTACAGGTGTGAGCCACCAGGCCCGGCCAGTATAGAAACTATTAATCAGATGTTTAAGTCACTGTATTTGGGGGAGGTTTGTTACAGAGCTTAGCCTATACCTTTACTAACAAACATACCTTCAAAACTTTGAGAGAAGTTTATTTCCCATCCAGGATTCTAGTCTTAGGCAAATTACCATCAAGTTTAAGTTGAATAGAGACAGTTTCAAATATGCAAGATGTCAAAAAATGTACCTCTTAAACACTCCTTCTCAGAAAATGACTGGAACAAAGACTAATGCCACGTGCATGTGTGTGTACGCTAGGTGCACAATAAACATATATGCCCAGGCACATCGGCTCACACCTATAATCCCAACACTGTGGGAGGCCAAGATAGGGGGATCACTTGAGGCCAGGAGTTCAAGACCAGCCTGAGCAACATAGGGTGACTTTGTCTCTACAAAAAATAAAAATAAAAAAATAATTAGCCTGGCATGGTGGTGAGGGCCTGTAGTGCCAGCAACTCGTGAGGCTCAGGTGGGAGGATCAGGTGAGCCTAGGATTTCAAGGCCATTAATGAAGAAACTAAAGAAGGAATAAATGAAGTGTATCCCTTCATTTGTTAAAGAGATAAATAATATCTACTACTTAGGGTTTTGTGGGATTAAATTGAACACATTACTTTTCTTGCTTCCATCAAAATCATACACACACACACACACACACACACACACAGCCCTGACTGTAGCCAATTGTTCTTGAGGGTAGGAAGGCAATGTATGAATCTTAAGAGAGTCAATCTGCATTTTTCAGTTTACAGACACTGGTGGAGAAGTCAGTGAAACCAGAGAACTTGACCTTGGAAAATCATTCATTTATGTTAAGAAGTAGATGGCCCATTATTATTTACAAAATAACTTGAAGAGCCATTTTGGTTTTGGAAAGAGAGCTGGCAGAGCAGAGCTCAGAAAGGAGATGAAACAATGAGAGATAAGTTGTTTTACATAATGAAAGAATACAGACTTTCCCCGATTATACCAAACAGAACCAAGATAAAGTAAGATTTTCCACAACAAGGCACTCAGGGATGGCGATGGAGGCGCTGTGGATCAAGTCAGCCAGAGAGAAATTTCTGGGGGTTGGAATGGTTACAAAATAATGTTAAGAATATAGCCAGCTGTGATGCCACAACCCTGTGATCCCAGCTACTTGGGAGGCTGAGGCAGGAAGATGGCTTGAGGCCAGGCTTTCAAGGCCAGCCTGGGCAACATACGAGATGCTGTCTCTGAAAAAAAAAGAAAGAAAGAAAGAAAAGTATGTTAGGAAGATGATAGATGGCTAATATCAAGCTTTACAGTTGATCCTGTTCTTATTTAAAATTCTAATAGTTTGTTCATTATGGATTTCTTCCATTCATTTTGGTGTTTTAAATATTGCATTAAATCGTTATTTATTTTGAGCACTGAGTTTTTGGTGCCCCCTTAAATGTGGCACTCAAGGAAAGTGCCTCGCTAGTTTCACCCTGGTCCCTGCCCTTCTAAACCTTCAGGAAAAGTCTGTGACATGGACCAGCTCTGTGTTAATGATAGCTGCCAAATAGGGATCAGCTCAGGGTGGAACAAAGACACCATCAGCAGCAGGCAAGACATGAAAATTCTCTATCAATCAGTGACAGCGATTTGAACAATGAAGGATTACAAGGTAAACCTTAGAGCAAAGAGAAAAATAAACAGAGCATGGAATAGTGACGGGGTGTTGCCGGGGATCCCAGAGAAGGGGTGAAGTTTTGCTGCCCCTCATGCCCACTGTTGGACCCTACAGCTCAACTGTTCTTTTAGCTGAGCTTCTTCCAGATAGAATGAAAAATACAAAATACTCTGGCTGGTCTTCCAGCTGGGTCCTGAAAGGAGAGTCCGAGGGTTGGGTGTTGTGTCCCTGAAGACTAGTCTAGCAGTGGGGGCTTGAAGGGGGGTGCCAGGATGGGCCTCCCAATCTCTTTACGGAAATGTTAGAGGCCGGGTGTGGTGGCTCACGCCTGTAATCCCAGCACTTTGGGAGGCTGAGGCAGGTGGATCACTTGAGGTGAGGAGTTCAAGACCAGCCTGGCCAACATGGTGAAATCCCGTCTCTACTAAAAATACAAAAATTAGCTGGGCATGGTTTTGCATGCCTGTACTCCCAGCTACTCAGAAGGCTGAGGCAGAAGAACCGCTTGAGCCTGGGAGGCGGAGGTTGCGGTGAGCCGAGATCGCACCACTGCACTCCAGTGTGGGTGACACAGTGAGACCCTGTCTCAAAAAAAAAAAAATTAAAAAAAGGAAATGTCGAGTAGAGCCAGCTCCAGAATAAGTGAATGGAAGACGTTCAGGTGCATGCGTTCAGGCGGTAAATTCATGATCACCAATTTTCACCTAGTGTCTCAGCCATGCCAAGCATTCCTATCCCAGCCCCTCATTCAGCTCTCTCTCTTATGCCCTCAGAGTCTATTCAAACTTTCTCCACTCTCCTTCTATCTCTGAAATGCCCCTACAACTTCCTTGACCCTCAGAAGCCAGATCCTTGCCAAGCACTTCACAAAGAAAATGCAATTCATCAAATGGGATATTTCCCCACACGTCATTTTCAAGTTGATTTGCTGCCAATTCCATTTGTTTTGCTTTGTTTCCTATTACGAAGGAAGAATTGTCTCTCTTACTTCAGGCCATGTTCCTCTACTTTTTTCCATCATTGCCCCCTTATGGAGCCTTTATGACTTTTTTTTTTTTTTTTTTTTTTGCGAAAGAGTTTCACTCTTGTTACCTGGGCTGGAGTGCAATGGCACAATCTCAGCTCACTGCAACCTCCGCCTCCCAGGTTCAAGTGATTCTCCTGCCTCAGCCTCCCAAGTAGCTGGGATTACAGGCATGCACCACCACGCCCGACTAATTTTGTATTTTTAGTAGAGACGGGGGTTTCTCCATGTTGGCCAGGCTGGTCTCAAACACCCAACCTCAGGTGATCCGCCCGCCTCAGCCTCCCAAAGTGCTGAGAATTACAGGTGTGAGCCACCATGCCTGGCCCTAAGGCATTTTTTCCTAATTGCTCCCCGCTCCTGCTACCTTGTGAAATTTTAACCCCTTAATATATGTTTGTGTACTCTGACCCTTTCGAGGGCCACGAATCATTGCAATATCTAAGATGTGGTTGCCCACTCTGAGAATGCACGATCTGTCTACGGCTATAGCACCCTGAACACATCCAATCTCATCGGATCTCAGAAGCTAAGCAGGGCCAGGCCTGGTTAGTACTTGGATGGGAAAATGCAGATGTAAGGCCAGTTCCTCCACGCATTCTCCAGATTTTATCTCCTCCCTCGGGATCTTCCCCTCATCACTTACACCCAAGGCCTCCAGCATCTTAACCTGTCCCTCTCACTAGCTCTACTGACTACCCATCTCCAGCTCTGGCCTTCTGTTTGTTACCTTCACAGCCCTATTTCTCAAAAGGCATGCTACACTCCAAAATGCACTCTGCCTCCATCTCTCCACTGACTCTATTCTCTGTAATATCACAAACACACTCTGTGTGCCCACACACACATACTCTTTCACCCAGCATTCCCTCATAAGAGCACATTAGCAGCCCTTGCCTAGGACGTAGCAATACTGAATGATGTGTTTCACCAGAACTGTTTATAATCAGCCAAAGCCTTTTTCCCAACTTTACTGAGGTATGACTGACAAATAAAAGTTGGCTATTTTAGGGTGTATGACGTGATGTTTACTATATGCCTACAATTTGAAATGATTGCCACAATCAAGCTAATTCATATATTCATCACCTCACATAGTTACCTTTTTTCCATTGTGCTGAGAACACTTCAGCACATTTCCAGTATACCATACATTATTATTAACTATAGTCAATGCTATGGTTTGGATATGGTTTTTTTTTGTTTGTCCCCATCAAATGTCATGTTGAAATTTAATCCCCAACTGGTAGCGGTGGCTCATGCCTGTAATCCCAGTACTTTGGGAGGCCAAGGTGGGCAGGTTGCTTGAGTCAAGGCATTAGAGACCAGCCTCGGCAACATGGTGAGACCCTGTCTCTACAAAAAAAAAAAATTAGCCAGGCATGGTGGCACACACCTGTAGTCCCAGCTACTAGAGAGGCTGAGGTGGGAGGATCGCTTGAGCCCAGGGAAGTCTAGGCTGCAGCGACCTGAGACTGCACCACTGCACTCCAGCCTGGGCAACAGAGTGAGACCCTATCTCAAAAAAAAAAAAAAAAAAAAAAGAGGAAATGTAATCCCCAGTGTAGCAGTATTGGGAGGTAGGGCCTAGTGAGAGGTGTTTGGGTCATGGGGCTGGACCCCTCATGAGTGGCTTGGTGTGCTTCTCACAGTAGTGAGTTCTCACTCTCATGAGCCTGGATTGATTCTCGGGGAAATGAATTCATTCCCATGAGTGTGTGTTGTTATAAAGCCAGGGTGCCCCTTGGGTTTGGATCCTCTTCGCAGGTGCTCATTTCCCCTTTGACCTTTTCCACCATGTTTTAACTCATCACAAAAGCCTTCACTGGCCAGGCGCAGTGGCTCATGCCTGTAATCCCAGCACTTTGGGAGGCCAAGGTGGGCGGATCACGAGGTGAAGAGATCGAGACCACCCTGGCCAATATGGTGAAACATGGTATCTACTAAAAATACAAAAATTAGCTGGGCGTAGTGGCGCTCGCCTGTAGTCCACCTACTTGGGAGGCTGAGGCAGGAGAATCGCTTGAACCCAGGAGGTGAAGGTTGCCGAGAGCCAAGATGGCACCACTGCACTCCAGCCTGGTGACAGAGCAAGACTCCATCTCAAAAAAAAAAAAAGAAAGTGAGATAGCCTTATTACTGATATGGAGAAAGTTTTAGTGGTCCGGATAGAAGATTAAACCATCCACAACATTCCCTTAAACCAAGCCTAATCCAGAACAAGGCTCGAACTTTCTTCAAATCTGTTAAGGGTGAGAGAGATAAGGAAGCTGCAGGAAGCTAGCAGAGTTGGCTCATGAGGTTTAAGGAAAGTAGCCATCTCCATAACATAAGAGTGCAAGGTGAAGCAGCAAGTGCTGATGGAGAAGCTGCAGCAAGTTATCCAGAAGATCCAGCTAAGATCACTGAAGAAGGTGGCAACACTAAACAACGGATTTTCATTGTAGTTTAAAGTCTTATATTGGAGGAAGATACCATCTAGGACTTTCATAGCTGGAGAGGAGAAGTCAATACCTGCCTTCAAAACTTCAAAGGAAGGCTGGACGCAGTGGCTCACACCTGTAATCCCAGCACTTTGGGAGGCTGAGGCAGGTGGATCACAAGGTCAAGAGTTCGAGATCAGCCTGGCCAACATGGTGAAACCCCATCTCTACTAAAAATACAAAAATTAGCCAGGCATGGTGGCACATGCCTGTAGTCCCAGCTGCTCGGGGGGCTGAGGCAGGAGAATCACTTGAACCTGGGAGGCGGAGGTTGCAGTCAGCCAAAATCGTGCCACTGCACTCCAGCCTGGGTGACAAAGCGAGACTCTGTCTCAAAAACAACACAAAAAAAAACTTCAGAGGGCAAGCTGACTCTCATGAGAAGCTAATGCAGCTGGTGACTTTAAGCTGAAGCCAGTGCCCATTTATCATTCTGAAAAGCCTAGGGCCCTTGAGAACTTGGCTAAATCTACTCTGCCTGTGTCTTTACATGGAACAACAAAGCCTGGATGACACATCTGCTTACATCATGATTTACTAAATATTTTAAACCCACTGTTCATACCTACTGCTCACAAAAACATTCCTTTCAAAAATGACTGTTCATGGAGAATGCACCTGGTCACCCAAGAGCTCTGATGGAGATGTACAGGGAGATTAATGCTGTTTTCGTGACTGCTAACACATCATTCATTCTGCAGCCCAAGGATCAGGAGTAATTTTGACCTGTCACTGTAATTATTTTAAAAAACAGGGCCGAGGCAGGTGTATCACCTGAGGTCAGGAGTTAGAGACCAGCCTGGCCATCATGGTGAAACCCCGTCTCTACTAAAAATACAAAACTTAGCTGGGCGTGATGGCAGGTGCCTGTAATCCCAGCTACTGGGGAGGCTGAGGCAGGAGAATCACTTGACCCCAGGAGGAGGAGGTTGCAGTGAGCCGAGATCACACCATTGCACTCCAGCCTGAGCAACAGAGCAAGACTCTGTCTAAATAAATAAATAAATAAATAAAAATAAACAGGGGCCCAGACATGGTGGCTCATTCCTGTAATCCCAGTGCTTTAGGAGGTCAAGGCAGGAGGATCACTTGAGCCCAGGTATTCAAAACAAGCTGAATAACATAATAACATAGTGCAACCTCATCTCTCTACAAAAAATTTAAAAATTAGCCAATGCAGTGGTGTGCACCTGCAGTCCTAGCTACTCACAAGGCTGAGCCAGGAGGCCCACTCGAACCAAGGAGCTCAGGGTTGCAGTGAGCTATGATCACACCACTGTACTCTAGCCTGGGCAACAGAGACTCTGGCTCTAAAATTTAAAATAATAATAATAATAAAGTAACAAAGAAACAAATACATTTCATAAGGCTATATAGCTGCCATAGATAGATCTGGGCAAAATGAACTGAAAACCTTCTAGAAAGGAGTCACCATTTAGATGCCATTAAGAAAATTCATGATTGAGGCCAGGCACTGTGGCTCATGCCTGTAATCCTAGCACTTTGGGAGGCTGAGGCAGGCGGATCACCTGAGGTCAGGAGTTCGAGACCAGCTTGGCCAACATGGTGAAACCCCGTCTTTTTTTTTCCTGAGACAGAGTCTCACTGAGTGGCCCAGTCTGGAGTGTAGTGGCATGATCTCGGCTCACTGCAACTTCCACTCCCAGGTTAAAGCAATTCTCCTGCCTCAGCCTCCCAAGTAGCTGGGATTACAGGCACCCACCACCACACCCAGCTAATTTTTGTATTTTTTAGTAGAGACAGGGTTTCACCACGTTGGCCTGGCTGGTCTTGAACTCCTGATCTCACATGATCCACCTGCGTCAGCCTCCCAAAGTGCTGGGATTACAGGTGTGAGCCACCGCACCTGGCCTGAAACCCATCTCTACTAAAAATACAAAAATTAGCCAGGCGTGGTGGCGGGCACCTGTAATCCCAACTACTCGGGAGGCTGAGGCAGGAGAATCGCTTGAACCCAGGAGGTGGAGGTTGCGGTGAGCAGAGATTGTGCCACTGTACTCCAGCCTGGGCAACAAGAGCAAGACTCAGTCTCAGAAAAAAGAAAAAGAAAAAAGAAAATTCATGATTCAATGGAGGAAGCCAAAATATCAACATAACAGGAGTTTGGAAGAAGTTGATTCCAACCCTTATGGATGACTACAAGGGGTTCAAGACTTCTTGGAGGAACTAACTGCAGATGTAGTAGAAATTGAAAGAGAACTAGAATTAGAAGTGGAGCCTGGGACGGGCACGGTGGCTCACGCCTGTAATCCCAGTACTTTGGGAGGCCGAGGAGGGCAGATTACCTGAGGTCAGGAGTTCGAGACCAGCCTGCCCAACAAGACAAAACCCCATCTCTACTAAAAGTATAAAAATTAGCCAGGCATGGTGGCGGGTGCCTGTAATCCCAGCTACTCAGGAGGCTGAGGCAGGAGAATCACTTGAACCTGGGAGGTAGAGATTGCAGTGAGCCAAGATCATGATTCTATCTCAAAAAAAAAAAACACACACAGAAGGTAAATTGTTCTGCAAAGAGAGGTAATGGGAATGTGGGAGTTGGCTTGGCTACTGGCACAGACAGCAGGGAATCGGGAGTTTGAAAGAAGATTTACATTTGGCATACACGTGTGCCCACGTGGCCTTTCCTACTGCAAAGGGTGCTGACAAAATCAAGCCCCTGATCCTTCCTGTGGCATACATAAGAACAAAATGGTAGTTGTTAGGGACAAATCAAAATTTAAAAATAAAATGGCCAGGTGCAGTGGCTCACCCCTGTAATCCCAGCACTTTGGGAGGGAGGCCAAGGCCAGCGGATCACTTGAGCCCAAGAGTTTGAGACCAGCTTGGGCAACATGGCAAAACCCCATCTCTACAAAAAATACAAAAATTAGTCGGGCATGTTGGCACGGGCCTGTAGTCCCAGCTACTGGGGAGGCTGAGGCAGTATAATCAATCACCTGAACCTGGGAGATCAAGGCTGCAGTGAGCCGTGATGGCGCCTTTGCACTCCAGTCTGGGTGACAGAGTGAGACCCTGTCTAAAAACAAAACAAAACAAAAGGCTGCTAGTCAGTTTGGGCTACTATAACAAAACACTGGCCAGGCGCGGTGGCTCACGCCTGTAATCTCAGAACTTTGGGAGGCCAAGGGGGGCGGGAATCACCTGAGGTCAGGAGTTCGAGACCAGCCTGGCCAACATGGTAAAACCCCATCTCTACCAAAAATACAAAAATTAGCCAGGCATGGTGGTGCGTGCCTGTAATCCCAGCTACTCAGGAGACTGAGACAGGAGAATCGCTTGAACCTAGGATGTGGAGATTGCAGTGAGCCAAGGTAGCGCCATTGCACTCCCGTCTAGGCAACAGAGCAAGACTCTATCTCAAAAAAAAAAAAAATTAAAGGCTTAGTTCTCCATGTTGAAAGTAAGGGAAGAGACTTCTCCACCCTCTCTTTTCTTAGAAAATTTGCTTTAGAAAACTTGTAAAATTTTTTTTTTTTTTTTGAGACAAAGTCTCACTCTTGTTGCCCAGGCTGGAGTACAGTGGCACAATCTCAGCTCACCGCAACCTCCGCCTCCCGGGTTCAAGCAATTCTCCTGCCTCAGCCTCCCAAGTAGGTGGGATTACAGGCATCCTCTACCACGCCTGGCTAATTTTTTGTATTTTTAGTAGAGATGGGGTTTCCCCATGTTGGCCAGACTGGTCTCAAACTCCTGACCTCAGGTGATCCACCCACCTCAGCCTCCCAAAGTGCGGGGATTACAGGCGTGAGCCACCGCACCCAGCCAGAAAACTTGTAAGTTATTTTCTGTGTCTTCAAAACGTGTATAAATATTTTTAGAAGCCACACAGCCTCTTGCCAGCTTTACTACCCAGGGATGTCTTTCACAAAGACCCAGGAGCCATCTCCTTGAAATGTAAACACCAAGAAAGATGGAGCCTTCATTTCCCAGTTTCTGTGGGAGGGTAGGACTAACTTAAATGGACACTTTGCTTGAGCTGCAAAACTATCTGCTGTCATAAAAATCTGAAAAGCTGGCTGGGCATGGTGGCTCACGCCTGTAATCCCAGCACTTTGGGAAGCCGAGGTGGGTGGATCATCTGAGGTCAGGAGTTTAAGACCAGCCTGGCCAACATGGCAAAACCTCGTCTCTACTAAAAATACAAAAACTAGCCAGGCTTGGTGGTGCACACCTGTAATCCCAGCTACTCAGGAAGCTGAGGCAAGAGAATCGCTTGAACCTGGGAGGTGGAGGTTGCAGTGAGCCGAGATCACGCCACTGCACTCTAGCCTGGGCAACAGAGCAAGACTCTATCTCAAAAAAAAAAGAGAAGTTTTTCTTCTGATTAAGCCAGTTAGCTAACATAGATGGTCATCACAATTGCCAGGTGTCTCTAGACTGCACTATATGTGACAAATGGTGCTATCGAGTCCTCCTAAAGATTATTTATAGTTTATCTTGAGAACACATATGTAATGGGCTGTATCTGCTTGGCTAGATAAAAGTGAGACTTCCTTCTGTCTTTGCAGTCTCTTAGCAAACTGCCTGTGATGTGCTCACATTCTGGTTTAATGCTTATTCAATAATAAAACTGTTTTCTTTCTTCACTACTTTCGTGGAGAGGTTTTTTCTGGGTTGGGAGAAAATTTTGCTTCTAATTATATTCTCCCAACATAGCGCATGTGCTTAAAAGGGAAACAAAAGCAGGAGGGGGAAGGGTCTAGAGTGATAAGAGCTCTAGTGAGAGGCTAGGCCTAGAGAGGGACATGGAGAAATAGCATGCGGAGAGGAACGGTAGAGGAGCAACGCTAACATTCAGTTGTAAATAATACAATCATAGCAGCTAATACATAGAGGGACTACACGCCAAGCACTGTTCTCACTGTTTAGCCATATTCACTCATTTAGCATGCGCAGTAGCTTGAATCCGGTTTTTCAATTATTCATTCCCTCTCTCTGCACGTGGCCGTAGAGTACACTAGAGTGGGCAGAAAATAAGTCACAAAACAGCAAAGAAACAGTGCTTTTGGAAGTAGGTATGAGACAAACTCTTTTCTAGGCAAAAGTAACCCACGAAAATGTGTGTGGAAAGGCCAGATCCTACTATTAGGCAGGATGGGAATTTGAGCCATTTTATTTGGATATTACAGAATGGGGTGACCCCAGAAAACTGGAAGAACTGGGGACCAGCAAATGGCCGACCTGCAGTCCTGAGCAGAGGATGTAGGCCAGAGTGGACCTAGAAGATAAGAAAGGGAATTGAATCCAGTAAGGGACAGACACTTTATTTTTTTATTTTTATTTATTTATTTATTTATTTTTGAGATAGAGTCTGATCTGGAGGCTGGAAGGCGGGGCTAAAACTCCCACTCACTTACCTCTACCAACAACTAGGCCACCAAGTCATTTCTGAGGACTGGCTCAAGAAAGCAGATTTAACTTACACTGGCCTAGCCCAGGCCACCAGATGCATCCACGGAGATCCAAATGCATATAATCACTTGAATCAAGATCTAGACAGGGACGCGTGCAGCAGGCTTCATCTGACTGATTCCTGACACGGGAGAGAAAGCCTAAGCTCCGAATCATCCTTCAATGTTTACAAAGGCCCTAAATAGCAGTGGGCTAATTGCTGTTCCTGGATTTCCAGGAGACCTGAGACCCATGAAGGAGCAGGAAAGAGCTTGGGGATAAAAAATTAATCTGGAACCTACTGGAGCGGAAGGGGCTGCACTCACCTGGAAAAGACAAAGTTCTTGGGAACTGGCCACGTAGGCCAGGTCCCTAAGCAATTCCATCCCGCACCCTAACACCCCGACTGGTGTTCCTGGGTCCCTAACATTGTCTGTACCCGCTTCGGAGGTTGGACAAAATGAGTTTTTCACTGCCCTGCCTCAGGCCTCTCTCAAAGGTCTGGCCCATGATATTTGGTGTACATTGGGACCCCAGCGCCCAGATATTTGAAACGGGGTGGGGAGCGGGTGTTGAGCTGCTACATTTCCAGGTTCTAGGTACCCTGGGGAACCCCTGGTCGTTGACGGAAGCACAGCGTTCAAGGGCGGCAGAGCTCAGGTACTGGAGGACACATGGGCCGCGCCGGGTCTAGCCGCGGGACATCCCCAGACCCCAGCACGGCCTCCCAGGCCGACCTTCCAGAAGCCGGCCCACTGCCTTCCCCGGGTCCCAGCCCAGAAAAGCGGAGACCTTCCCCTCCGTTTGGAAGATGGACTCATCCCCTACTTCCTCCTGGCTCCCCAGAAGACCTGGAGACCTCGGGAAGTGTTCTCATCTATGTTCGCTCCAACCCGGGGGCTCAGGCCCACCTCGATCCCGCCTTCCCGGGAGGTCCAGGAAGGTCCCGCCGCACCCACCCCGTTGGCCTCACCCTGGCTCGGGCCCCTTTATCATCCTGCAGCTACGCTCCGACCAGGAGGCACAGCCAGTCCCCACAGCCGGCTCTACCGCTCTGCTCGCAGGTTTGGGCTAGTCTGGGGCGGGGACTTGGGAGCGCCTAAAACTTGCGAGGAGGGCGGGGCCGCAGACCGGTCCTTTAAAGGTTGGAAGTGGCCCCGAGGCGCCGGCAGCCCTGGGCGGTCCCGGGAATCGCACAGGACCCGGCTCCCCTCGCCTAAGCTGCTGGGGGGCGCCATGGGCCGCTACCGCATCCGCGTGGCCACCGGGGCCTGGCTCTTCTCCGGGTCGTACAACCGCGTGCAGCTTTGGCTGGTCGGGACGCGCGGGGAGGCGGAGCTGGAGCTGCAGCTGCGGCCCGCGCGGGGCGAGGTCAGCGCGGGGAGCGAGGGGAGCTAGGGCAGCGGGGACCCCGGGCCCAGGCCCGGGCCGAGCTGGGCTCGCGGCGGGAGGGCGGGAGGCTGGGGGCGAGGTGACAGCGCGACCTCGCGGACTGGGACTTCCACGAAGCTGGGACGAGGTGGGCAAGATTAGGGACAGGGTCCGCAGCTGGGATCCCGGGCTGGGCTCAACCCCATCTCCCTTTCCCGCCCCTGGTCCCGGCAGCCCCCAGCTCCTTCTCCCAGTGACCCAGAGCCAATGTAAGTATGAGGCCAGAGGTCAGACGTGAAGCTCCTCCAAGAACCGGCGCGGGGAGAGCTCAGTTAATGGGACCCACGTGGGCGATGCTGCTCCAGCATCAGCTCCAGGCGCTGCGGGCCCTCGTCCTCCACCCGACTCCGGGCGTCTGAGACCCAAAGAGCAGGTTGTGCGGGGGCGGGAACGAGGCGATGCTGTCTTTGGAGGCCCTGAGAAACTGAGGTTGCACAGGAGCGCGGCTCTGTCCTCGAAACGGCCTCAGTCGGGTCCCTCCTACTAAGTCTGGCCTGGGTCCGGCCTGCACAGGAGGAGGAGTTTGATCATGACGTTGCAGAGGACTTGGGGCTCCTGCAGTTCGTGAGGCTGCGCAAGCACCACTGGCTGGTGGACGACGCGTGGTTCTGCGACCGCATCACGGTGCAGGGCCCTGGAGCCTGCGCGGAGGTGGCCTTCCCGTGCTACCGCTGGGTGCAGGGCGAGGACATCCTGAGCCTGCCCGAGGGCACCGGTGAGCAGGCGGCGTCGGGGAAGGAGGCACAAGGTCTCGGGAACTGCTGCGGGGCTAGGAGGGCAGAGTTAAGGACGGTCGGAGCAGACTTAGAGGATGTATGGGCCCAGGGCAGGTGAAATGTAGGGATCCCAGGGTGCTGGACAGAAAACGGGAAGGAGTTATGAATTCCCAAAGTTTTACACAGGCTAAGAGAGGCTGCGTGTGAGGCTGGAGGCAGGGAGTAAGTGATCTGGAGATCCCATCTTCCAAGAAGGCAAAGACAGAAAGTGGGAGTTGCAGCGATCCAGGAAAACAGAGAAGCAAAGTGAAAGTAGGAAGGAGATGTAAAGGTGACTCAGAAGTCAGGTGAGGGGACCACATGGAACAGGAGGGGGTGGGTGACCCGTGAGAGCAGACAGCTAAGGGAAGAAAACATAGGATGCTGGAGAGCTGGTTTGGTTGGAATAACACGGAAGACACCCGTGAAAGACAAGAAGCACACTGGCCCGCAGGAGACGAGGAGGAATGAGGATGGCAAATAGTGAATTTTTTTTTTTTTTTTTTTTGAGATGGAGTCTTGCTTTGTTGCCCAGGCTGGAGTGCAGTGGTGCGATCTTGGCTCACTGCAACCTCCACCTCCTGGGTTCACGCCATTCTCCTGCCTCAGCCTCCCGAGTAGCTGGGACTACAGGCACCCCCCACCACACCCGGCTAATTTTTTATATTTTTTTTAGTAGAGATGGAGTTTCACCGTATTAGCCAGGATGGTCTCGATCTCCTGACCTCGTGATCCGCCCTCCTTGGCCTCTCAAAGTGCTGGGATTACAGGCTTGAGCCACCACGCCCGGCCCAAATAGTGAATTTTTAACCATGGGTAATGAGTAAAAGAGAGATGAATCCAGAGATGAGTGAGGGCAGTAGGGATGGAACATCAAATCTATGACTTTGAGACAGGTGAGTGTAAATGCAGAAAAGACCCAGAATAAGTCCATAGATACAGATTATGATAGTAAATCCAGAAAGATGAGGTTTAAAAAAAAAAAAGCAAATGTAGAATCTTTTGAGGACAGGTGAAGGCGTGGCAGGTGAGGTTTAAGATGTGAAATTAATCAAAGCAATCTGTAGTAGACAGTAGGTGTAGGTGTATAGGTGACTAAGATTTCATCACCTTAATTAAGGTGATTTTTTTCCAACCATAGATATTGATGAAGTAAGGCCAGGTAGGGGAAGATGAGTGAAGGAGCAAGAAATGGTGGCAAACAGGAGGTTTTTATCTACAGGCAAAGGATGAGGGCTGAAATAAGAGAAAGCAGGAGTGCAAAGTTGGCAAAGATGGGATAAACGTGTCTGGTGGATAATCAAATGAGGCAAAGCCAGAGATAAAAGCAACAGTGCATGGCTGAAAACATGGAATACGGCTAACCACAGGGAGATGAGGACAAGAGGCGGGCATAGGACCAGACAGAGCCGTGAGGCCAATTGTCTTGATGTCTCCCCAGCCCGCCTGCCAGGAGACAATGCTTTGGACATGTTCCAGAAGCATCGAGAGAAGGAACTGAAAGACAGACAGCAGATCTACTGGTGACCACCCACCCCTTAAACTAACCCCGCCACCACTGTCCCACCCCTTCCCTGCCCCTGCCCCTGCCCCTGGCCCCATCACTGACCATGACATCCTTCCTGAAGCTTTGTCCCCAACTCCTAGCTGGGCCACCTGGAAGGAAGGGTTACCCCTGACCATCGCTGCAGACCGTAAGGATGATCTACCTCCAAATATGAGATTCCATGAGGAGAAGAGGCTGGACTTTGAATGGACACTGAAGGCAGGGTGAGAAAAAGGCTAGACCTCGGAGTGAAATAAGGGCTGGGAGGGCCAAGAATGATGATAGACGGTGAGGGACTGAGGGATCAGCTGATGAGTTAAGCCTCAATACCTGTCCTAGGGCTCTGGAGATGGCCCTCAAACGTGTTTACACCCTCCTGAGCTCCTGGAACTGCCTAGAAGACTTTGATCAGATCTTCTGGGGCCAGAAGAGTGCCCTGGCTGGTCAGTGGTTCCCCGAGGTCTCCATAATCCCTTAATGGCCCCTCTGGATGACTCATCACACTCCACAGTCCCCCGTAACTCTTTGCAAGAAGAGACCTTATCATATCTGGTCAACTCAGAGAGGCCTTGAGAATGAAAACGCAGAAGCTGGGTTCAGGGAGGGTTATATACCTGAACCCCTGGGGTAGATTTTGGAGAAGGGATATGCAGGCTGTGGTACATATATCCTCCTTTCACCGCCCACCAAAGAGAAGGTTCGCCAGTGCTGGCAGGATGATGAGTTGTTCAGCTACCAGTTCCTCAATGGTGCCAACCCCATGCTGTTGAGACGCTCGACCTCTCTGCCCTCCAGGCTAGTGCTGCCCTCGGGGATGGAAGAGCTTCAGGCTCAACTGGAGAAAGAACTTCAGGTACCTCTCCTTCCCCTGCCTGGCACTGTTCTCTCCTTAGTAGTGTGGTGAGAACGGACAGAGAGAATCCAAACTGAGTCAGAGGAAGGCTGCAGTACTGCATTGCCCCTTGGTGCAGTCCTGTGCTGGAAAAATACAGAAATAAAATATGTAGGGGAAGAAACTATGAGGAGCTCCCAGCAGGAAGGGGAAAATAGAATGGATCCCCAGCACACAGAGAGGGGCTGGAGATGTTAGCAGGAACAGTGACATTGCCTGGCCGCAGTGTTCTGGACTCCAGTGTTCATGGGCAGGGAGAAAAGTGAGGAAGTGCCATCAGGTGGGGAGAATCGGGGAGGCTTTCTAGAAAAAGAGAGCGGGGTTTGGAAGCAATGGACTGTACTGAGGACAAGCCTAGGCAAAATGTGTGCGTATGCATGTGTGTGCTGTATGCGGTGGCAGGGGTAGTAGGGGAAGCTCTCTGGAATATTTGGCAGAGGATGTGAGATTTGAATAGGGAATGAAAGAGCATTTGCTGAGCTGATAGGAGCCAAAACCAGAGCGCAGACCATTCGGGAATGATCAGAAAGGGGCCTGGCCATTTGACAGGTGGTCAGTTTACAATGCCTGTGATGCCAACTGGATTGAGCAGGCCTGGTTCCAAACCCAGATCTGCCACCACATCCACACACAAGACATCTACCCTCACCAGACTGTTTCTTCACTTTAAGATGAGAGGAACTGGACCAGGGGCTCTAGTTCTCCCAACAGGGCTCCGGTACTGATGCAGGAGAATGGCAAGAAGCTAGACTAAATCTCTTGCCCTTTGCCCCGGCCCCCTGGGGGTAGACTTTGAACTCTAAAAATGGATACATCCCTCCTGTCCCCAGAATGGTTCCCTGTTTGAAGCTGACTTCATCCTTCTGGATGGAATTCCAGCCAACGTGATCCGAGGAGAGAAGCAATACCTGGCTGCCCCCCTCGTTATGCTGAAGATGGAGCCCAATGGGAAGCTGCAGCCCATGGTCATCCAGGTAAGGGCCCCAGACCTCTCCCACAACGTTGCACTCTGTTCACCTCAACCTCTGCTCCCAGGGACCCAACCCCCAGCTCTTGGCTCCCAAACCCCATCCTCACTCAGTGAGACTTGTCTTCATGTCACTATTTGCCTGTACCCTCGTCTCCCCTGCCTCATCCAACTAGAATTACTTTTTCAAGAGTCAAAATGGCCTCCTGGAGTTCTCATCCTGTATCCAATGGTCCTCACACTTCAGTGTGCATCAGAATCACCTGAATGCCTGTTGAAATGCAGATTTCTGGATCCCATGACCAGACTTTCTGATTCAGTATGTCTGGGGTGGGAACTAAGAGTTTGCGTTTTTATAAGTTCCAAAGTGATGCTGACACTACCAGTTCAGGACTACACTTTCAGAATCACTATCTCATCTCTCAGTGGCCTCTGGCTCTGAACCCTCGCCATCTCTTGAATATCTTTTCTCGCAATTTCTTTTTTTTTTTTGAGACAGAATCTCACTGTGTCACTCAGGCTGGAATACAGTTGTGTGATCTTGGCTCACTGCAACCTGCGCCTCCTGGGTTCAAGCAATTCTCCCACCTCAGTCCCTCCAGTAGCTGGGACCACAGGCATGTGCCACCATGTGGGCCTGGCTAATTTTTGTATTTTTTGTAGAGATGGGGTTTCGCCATATTGCCCAGGCTGGTCTTGAACTTCTGGGCTCAAGTAATCTGCCTGCCTCGGCCTCCCAAAGTGCTGGGATTACAGGTGTGAGCCACTGCACCTGGCCTTCTCTCACTATTCTTAACAGTCAGGTGACAAGAACTGTCAATAATCTTACACCTCCTACTTCTCCTTCACATTCCACCACCATCTGAGCGCCGACCCCAAAGCAGCAGGTTTCTCCCACACCACTGTTAGGGCCTCCTTCTGGACCCCCTTCTTCCAGTCCCTCCTGCCTTCCACCTGACATCAGGGCACTCCAGCTAGCGAGCGGCAGGCTGGGAGGGTTCACAGTCCTCCTGCTAGACTATAACCTCCTAGAAGGCAATAATCTTACTTAGTCATCTCTGTTTCCCCAAGAATGCTGACTATAATGTCATATACGGAATGGGAGTTCAATAATTTCTCTTTCTCCCAGATTCAGCCTCCCAACCCCAGCTCTCCAACCCCAACACTGTTCCTGCCCTCAGACCCCCCACTTGCCTGGCTCCTGGCAAAGTCCTGGGTCCGAAATTCAGATTTCCAACTGCACGAGATCCAGTATCACTTGCTGAACACTCACCTGGTGGCTGAGGTCATCGCTGTCGCCACCATGCGGTGCCTCCCAGGACTGCACCCCATCTTCAAGGTACTTATTAATCTATTAAATCACATATCCCTCAGACCCCAGAGAGAGGAACAGCCCCATATCAAAAGATATTGCAGCAGCAAAAACTCTTTGTAGCAATTTGTGAGTGAAGAGGAGACTGTCTCAATATCTTGAGATGTTGATTTTAATTAAGTTTATTAAGTTTAGTCACTTAACATTATATAGGAATCCTCTGAAATTCTCAGAGATCTGACAGTCTAGCAGTGCGCTCACAGTAGGGCTTGAACACTGCTAGTAAAACAAAAGCCATATTCCTACCTTAGATCTAGTATTTAGCCAGAAAAACAAGTGATGCCCATAAGAACCAACCAGAGAACAGTATCTGGTACTAGAGTTTGAAATCACAAGGGACAGCCTATAACAGTATAGTATTGATGAAGAATGTTTCTACCCAATTGAGGAGTCAGCTAAGTAGAAACAGACCAAAAGGCAAGGAAGAACAGCCAGCAAGCCGCTCATACCTGCCCAACAGTAAGGTGGATAGAGATGTATGTTAGCATGGTAATGACAGGAATGAAAAGGAAAGAATCTAAAACGTAGTGAAGGGAGGAAATGGTAGCTGCAGCGTGCCTGGGTGCAAGAGAGAGAAAAGCCAGAAGTCCAAGCTTCTGCCACACCTGTAAGTCCCTGGGGCAGGTGTGTTATACTGACCTAGAAATACTGTGGTTTTAAGAGCTGGGTGTGGTGGTTCACGCCTGTAATCCCAGTGCTTTGGGTGGCCAAAGCAGTATGATTGCTTAAGACCAGGAGTTCAAGACCAGCCTGGGCAACACAGCAAGTCCCGGTCTCTAAATAAAAAGAAAGAAAGAAAGAAATACTGTAATTTTATAAAACAGTGAGTTCCATATATATTGCTGGGAGAAGGCAAAATAAGACCTGTGCTTGCTTAAGAAAATGTTCTTAAAATCTTGATGATACTTTATATACAGGGAACTTGGCAGAGGGAGCACAAAAATGATACAAGCTTACAAACCAGAGTAATTGTCAGAAACAGTAAAGTTAGAAGAAACCAGAGTCAGCAAAAATGAGGTGTTTGGTTTTAGGTACATGGAGTTTGATGTATTGGCAAGATATGCAAGTATGTCCTGGGTAAAAACAACCAAATTGTGTTTCAGCTGGGGGCCTCCACCAAGACCCCCCAAGCCTGGCCAGTATAGCTGTGCCGCCTCTGGAATTTTCCCCTTCGGTAACATAGACAAGATGGAGACCAGTCTGATGAATGGAATCTTGGATTTCATTCATCTCATGCTGTCTCCTGCTTCCCCATCCTCTGCTCCACACGAACAAGTGAAGCCTCTATTCACACTTACAATTCCGTTTCCTAGTTCAGTCCTCTCCGTGTCTCCACTCACCACAGTAATGCCATGCCCCAGCGGACAGCTGAGTTGCTGGCAGATGCACACAAGGGTCAAGCCTGCACATGTCTTAACAGTGGCCTATGCAGGCTCTGACTTTGGATTGCTGGGGTCTTAGTCCTGAACCCCGGCCTCAATAATTTCCAGATGTCCTCACATGTTCCATCGTGAGGTTATTAAAGGTTAAAATGACTTAATGGTGTGACACAAGCTAAATGCTACAAAAAACATTAGTTCTTGCAAATTTTTTTTTTTCAGAGACAAGTTCTCACTCTGTCACCCAGGCTGGAGTCCAGTGGCGTAATCATAACTCACTGCAGCTTCAAACTCCTGGGCTGAAGCGATCCTCTAACCTCAGCCTTCAGAGTAGCTGGGACTACAGGTGTGCACCACCATGCCTGGCTAATTTTTTTTATTTTTTGTAGAGACAGGGTTTCACTATGTGGCCCAAGCTAGTCTCAAATTCCTGGGCTCAAGCGATCCTCCTGCCTCAGTCTCCCAAGTAACCTGGATTGCAGGCACATGCCGCCACACCCAGCTAGTTCTTGCAATTATTATTATTAAGGACTGTTTATCCTTAGGCATCCTTTCTCCTCATGTGGACTTTGGCCTTTCCGTGACATTTGGCATCTTTCATGAATCTTCTGAAAAGCTTCAGGTTAATGTGAGCTGCTTTGGTATCTTAACACCAAAGGTGTCATTGGGGTCATTGCCAGTGTCCAGCATCAACAATTCAGACAAGCACCAAAACTGCTTGAAACCTGCATGTTAACTATGTGGAAAGGAAGACAAACAGTCTAAGATAAAAAGAAACGCATGTAAGGACCATGCCTTTTTTAATAGCTAAGGAAAATATTTTAATATTTTTAATTTAATAAATTTTAATTTATTAAAATTAAAATTTTAATTTAATATTAAATTAAAATTTTAATTTTAATTTTAAATAAATAATTAAAATTTAAATAAATTTAAATTTAAAATTTAAATTTAATTTTAAATAAACATTTAAATTTTTAATTTTAATATTAAATTAATTTAATTTAATATTAATTTAACTTAATTTAATTTAATATTAATTTAACTTAATTTAATTAATTTAATATTAAATTAAATTTTAATATTTTTAATTTTAATATTAATTTAATATTAAATTAAATTTTAATATTTTTAATTTTAATATTAATTTAATTTAATTTAATTTAATATTAATTAATTTAATTTTAATTTTAATTGCTTCAATATTAAATTAAATTTTAATATTTTTATTTTAATATTAAATTAAAATTTTAATTTAAAATTAAATATTTAATATTAAATTAATTTAAATTTAATATTAAATTTTAATAGCTAAGGAAAATATTTTAATATTAAAAAAAGACCATGGCCTTTTTTCAATAGCTAAGGAAAAGCAGGAGAAGAGGGGCCCAACAGTGCTTAAGTAGGGGTGGAGAAAGATTTGCTTAAACAGGTAGCTGAATATAGCTCTTCTAGTTCTGACAGAAAGTATTCTCCCCATCCATCCCCTAAAGAAACCCCCAACTGTGAAACAACTAAAAGATGGAGATGCAGCTTTGATCATAAGCAGAGAGGCTAGTTTAAGAGGATGTGAATGACAGAGGAGGTAGCAAAGAAAATCAGAAAGGGCTGATTCATAAGGCACCTATACTCAAGGTAGAAACAATGAAGCAGACAGCTACTATTCCAGGACTCTTATGTGTAATAGACACTCTCCAACATCACTTAGGTGAGCATCACCACAGCCCCTGAGATAAGAGAGTCTATTGCTGCCCCCTGTTGACAAATGAAGAGATTGCAGATTAAAAGGTTATTAACTTGGCCAAGTCTCAAATGAGGAGTAAAGTGTAGGTTAAAATCCTGGTCAGTCTGGCTCCAGGGCCCAACTCACAGGGAAGTTGGAGAGCACAAGAGTGAGTGATCAGAACAGCAGGAGATCAGCCTGTAAAGGAAAGCATCAAGAGGAGAAGGCGCCATGCTGGGTGCCAGGCCCTACCAGGAAGGACCCAAGCATGGCCTCCACCAGTCACGCCCTCCAATCTCCTCCTCTCCAGTTCCTGATCCCCCATATCCGCTACACCATGGAAATCAACACCCGGGCCCGGACCCAACTCATCTCAGATGGAGGAATTTTTGATAAGGTGAGGAGGGTACGGGGCATGGGACTGCCTCATCCATCTCTCCATGATCTGCCACTTTCAGGATCCAAGATCAACTATGTGTGAATGTCCTCACTCTTAACCTATGAACCTGTCCCTTTTATACCCATGTCTTTTTTTTTTTTTTTTTTTTTTTTGAGACAGAGTCTAGCTCTGTCGCCCAGGTTGGAGTGCAGTGGCGCCATCTCGGCTCACTGCCATCTCCGCCTCCTGGGTTCAAGCGATTCTCCTGCCTCAGCCTCCCGAGTAGCTGGGATTACAGGCGCCCGCCACCATGCCCAGCTAATTTTTATATTTTTAGTAGAGATGGGGTTTCACTGTGTTGGCCAGACTGGTCTCGAACTCCTGACCTCATGATCCACCCACCTCAGCCTCCCAAAGTGCTGTATACCCATGTCTTAATATCTGAAAATCCCACATTTGCCCCACTTTATGGAAGATGTGTTGGTTCTCCAGCCCTGTTTCCCCCTCTAAGACCTGTGATCTCCTGTCCCAGGCAGTGAGCACAGGTGGAGGGGGCCATGTACAGTTGCTCCGTCGGGCGGCAGCTCAGCTGACCTACTGCTCCCTCTGTCCTCCTGACGACCTGGCTGACCGGGGCCTGCTGGGACTCCCAGGTGCTCTCTATGCCCATGATGCTTTACGGCTCTGGGAGATCATTGCCAGGTGAGTAAGGAGGAGCTGAGAAATGGTGGGGCCGGGGGGGGGGGGGGCTCTGGCCTGAGGCCAGCATGGGGCAAAAGCAAGAAGGTCCAGAAAGGAGAAGCAGAGAACTCAATCCTGGGGAGAGATGAGGAAAAGTGAGGACACAGTGGGTGGCTCTGAAAATGAGGAGACTGGGATGAGGCAGAGAGAGGAGGTGAGGGGAGCTGTGGGGGGAGACTGGGGGAGGTGTCTGGAA